>NC_000003.12:195517568-195668567 GCF_000001405.40 Homo sapiens | reverse complement strand
CTGGTGCTGGTGTGGGCAGACGTGCAGCTCAAGTAGGTGCGCCCGTAGCCTATGGAAACAACAGAGAGCAGTGACTGCACACAGTGGCCCACGTCCGGACCTCCTGTCTAATGAGATCACAGAACGGACAGGGCAGCCCCCGGGCACCATCTTCTCAGTGCTGTGTGCACACAACCCCCTACTCACGCACACCCCACACACATCACTGGGGGCCACGCCAGTGGTGCTGCTACCCTGCGCAGGTAGGATAGAAGCCTGGGATCAGAGAAGAGACTTCCATTTATATTTTATTTATTTATTTATTTATTTTGAGATAGGGTCTAACTCTTGTCGCCCAGGCTGGAGTACGGTGGCACAATCTCGGCTCACGGCAACCTCTGGCTCCCAAGTTCAAGTGATTCTTCTGCCTCAGCCTCCCAAGTACCTGGGAATACAGGTGTGCACCACCACATCCAATTGATTTTTGTATTTTTAGTAGAGACTGGGTTTCGCCACGTTGGCCACGCTGGTCTTGAACTCCTGACCTCAGGTGATCCACCCACTTCGGCCTCCCAAAGTGCTGGGATTACAGGCATGAGCCACTATGCGTCTGGCCCTATTTGTATTTTAGATTTGTGCTGTTCAAAAGGTTTCCCCAGTAAGCATATACTACTTTTATAATGAAAATTTTAAAATTTTTATGGATTTTGTTTTTTTCCCCCAGATTTACTGAGGTATGATTGATGAATTAAACAAAAAACAATACTGTATATATTTAAGGTGTACAGCGTGATGATTTATTTTGTGAACTGATGACACAATCAACTTAATACACATCTATCACCTCATACAATTATCCTTTTTTTTGGAGATACAGACACCTAAGGTCTACTCTCTTCGCAAATTTCAAGTTATATTAATGATAGCCACCGTACTGTATGATTTTAACTGTAGCCACCATGCTGTATAATGTTAACTCTGGCCACCATGCTCTATAACATTAACTCTAGCCACCATGCTGTTTATCAGACCTTCAGAACTTCACCTTGTGACGGGAAGTTACACCTTTAATCAGCATCGCCACAGTCTGCATTCCCCCAGCCCCTGGCAACCACTGTCCTATTCTGTTTCTGTGAGTTGTGACAGTTTTAGATCCACATATGAGTGACATGCAGTATCTGTCTTTCTGTGCCTGGGTCGTTTCACTTAACATAATGACTTTGGGTTCATCCACGTTGTCACACATGACAGGATTTCCTTCGTTTTCATAGCTGAATAATATTCAGTTGTGTACACACACCACATTGTCATTAAACACCAAAAATTTTTAGGTTGTTTCCATATCTCGGGTATTGTGAATAACGCTGCAATGAACATGGGGGTCCAGGTGTCTCTTTGAGCTTCTGATTTCATGCCCTTTGGATATACACCCAGAAATGAGGTTGCTGGAGCACATGGTAGTCCTGTGACTTTTGAGGAACCTCCAGAGTTTTCCACAATAGTTGTACTAATTTACATTCCCACCAACAGCACACAGGGTTCCCTTTTCTCCACATCCTCATCAACACTCACTATCTTTTGTCCTCTTGGTAACAGCCATTCTAACTGGAGCGAGATGAGATGATACTCATTGGGGTTTTAATTTGCATTTCTCTGGTGCTTGGTGATGTTGAGCATTTTTTCATACATCAACTGGCCATTTGTATGTCTTCTCTGGAAAAATATCTATTCAAGTCCTTTGCCCATTTTTAGTAGGGTTGTTTTTTAGTAGGGTTTAGTAGGTTGGTTTTAGTAGGGCTTTTTTTTATTTTTTATTTTTTTTTGCTATTTTAGATACTAAGATATCATTAGATATATGGTTTGGAAAATATTTTTTCCCACCCTGTAGTTTTGCTGATTTTTTTTCTTGGCTGTACTGACACTTCTTAACTTTTAAAGTGGCTAAAGTAACTGCCACTGTATAAAATTAAAGTTTTTTATTTTCATTATGTGGAGAAGACAGACTTATCTATCCCAGGAATCAGTATAAACATAGAACCCACTAAAACAAGAGGGATTTTGCCAGAAAACCCCATGTGACTCTTCGGGCCACAGTTTCCTCATCTAAAATCGGGAGAGGTACGCTGTGAACCTGACGGCAGCCACTACCGACTAATGAGGGCCATGCTTTCTCACCCCGAGGCAGGTGCTGCTGTCCTCACCCTTTACAGGTGAGGAACCATGGCTGGGAAAGGCCATCACCCTCACGTGGTTATATCAAGGCCTGTGTCTGAACTGCTATTCTACAATGCCTCTATTTTCCTTAAAATAAAGAGACTCTAAATGAAATTTATTCATTTTTACAAAGGAAATAAAGTAGAAATTAGATTCCTACCCTGTGGCAACAATAGTATTCTTTGCTCTTATGCGATGGATGGACCCGTCCTGTATGCACAGTGCGAAGACACCACGGCACTCCCCATTCTCCATCAGGAGATCCAAGGCAAAATACTCCACAAAACAGCTGGTATCATATCGCAGAGACTAAAAGAAAGAAAAAAAAAGGGCAAGAAGTGTTAAGCCAACCTTTAAGGTTTTAAGGTGATATCTGCTCATGTGAATAGGTGAAAGAACTTGATCCAAATGGACCAGGTAAATCCAAGGAGATCAGCAACAGTGTCAATGACACTGTCAGAGCCCGAGAGGCATTCCACGCCCAGCAGTACCAACAAGGCAGGTGTGCTAGAGAACGCAGCAGCAACAGCTCCTATGTTGGTGACACATTTCCTACTTCTACACAACCCGAAGAGGCACTCCACACTGTCCGGTGGCCGCATGCAGCTCCACTCGGAGTCTGGTGCCAGAGTGAGATCCGCAGACCATGGGGTCACAGCCCAGATGGGAGCTACTGGCAACACATAACCACTTAATTAATTAAAATAAGTCAAAACGTTCAGCTCTTCAGCTACACCTGCCACATTAGCAACAGCCCCATGTGGCTGGCAGCTACCAAAGCGGACGGTTGCAGACGAGCAGATTCCGGCACCGCAGAAAGGTAGGCGCCGGACAGCGCTGCCCGCCTGGACCTGCCGTTCCCTCAGCCAGCGCAAGTCGCTCTCGTGAGCCTGGGCCAGCTCCCCACATGACAGCTCCTGCTCCGGAAGGAGCCGCCGTCTCCTCCCACCACACACTTGTCGATGCACTCAGCCACAGAGAAGTCACTGGTGTTCTAACAACCTGCACATTACTGATCCGTCCCCATGCATCAGAAAACAACAAAGCTCAGAACATGGATTACTCTGAATCAATACTGTTCAGGATATTGTTTGGTCATGCCAAAGTTGACCCTGATTACCCAGTAACTATTGTCACCTCAAGTCTTTGTCCAGTGATAACAGTTAATATGAAAACAATCCATGGCCGGGTGTGGTGGCTCACACCTGTAATCCCAGCACTTTGGGAGGCCGAGGCAGGTGGACTGCCTGAGCTCAGGAGTTCGGGAGCAGCCTGGGCAACATGGGAAACCCTGTCTCTACTAAAATACAAAACATCAGCAAGGCGTGGCGGCGTGCACCTGTAGTCCCAGCTACTCTGGAGGCTGAGGCAGGAGAATCGCTTGAACCCGGGAGGCAGAGGTTGCAGTGAGCAGAGATCGCGCCACTGCACTCCAGCCTGGGTGAGAGTGAGACTCCGTCTCAAAAACAAAGCAAAACAAAACAAACAAACCAAACCAATCCATTCAGGAACTCAGAGGTGGTAAAAGAGCCTTAAAATACTTGTTCTTTGTCTTTTTTTGAGACAGGTCTCCTGTTGCTCAGGCTGGAGTGCAGTGGTATGAACATGGCTCACTGTCTCAAGTGATCCTCCTGCCTCAGCCTCCTGAGTAACTGGGATTACAAGCATGTACCACCATGCTCAGCTACTTTTTAAACTTTCTGTAGAGACAGGGTCTCACTATGTTCTCCAGACTGGTCTCAAACTTCTGGTCTCAAGTGATCCTCCTGCCTTGGCCTCCTAAAGTGCTGGGATTACAGACGTGGGCCACTGTGCCTGGCCTGCTTGCTCTGTTCTTACATGCTGAGTGTCACATATCCCAAGTGAAAACCTGGTATATAAGATTATCAATTCAACTTCCCAACATAGAGGCAACAACTCACACATTGCCTTAGGGGCAGCTTCTCAAGGCACACGCCTGCTCCTGTCACATCCACAGTCGCTGCATGTGCCCCACACGGCTGTTCTCTGTTGCTTTTTACGCAATCTCTGGCTGACTCACTGGGCACGCTAACCCATTCCCCGCTGTCACCACAAGCCCCAGCACTATGTGTCCTGTCTCAGGTGGACGGGGGGCAGCCTTACCCTCCCATATAAGGTGTGCAATATTGAGTGGCCGGTCCGATCAGCCACACAGCAGCACCGATGGGCCTGCCTGCCCTTTCCAAACTTGAGGCTGTGTCCGCCAAATGCACGCTGATAAATCTTCCCATCTTCAGTTCTGCTAAACGGCATGCCATAATTTTCTACCTGTGAAAGATAAAAACAAACAAAAGCCTTATTACCCTAAAGGAGTCAAGATATTCACAGCTAATCTACACTAAACAACTTTAATACAAATCTGCAAACCCAAATTAACCTATTTTATGAAAATGTCAACACTTCATCAAAGAGAAGTTTTTCTTATTACATGTAATACATAGTTCATGATGGACAAAGACTTCTCTTGTGAGCTTTGCTAATCACCATTCTTTCGGCTGCCACATCTGCCTCAACTGCTTACATTTTTTCCAGGACTCTTGTACTGGAAACAGACCACCAGAGCACCCAGAGCCTCCCGCCCATCACCTCGACCATGGCAGTGGGGGCCTGCTCCGTCACGTAGTGGATGGCATCCTGGTCCCCCAGCCAGTCGGAGCCCTTCACGGTGTCATAGAAATGCCACCTCCAGTTGTCCTCCTCCATGTTCCCCAGAGCAGCATTGATTCCAACCTGGAAACACCAACCACTCCTTACAAGCCACAAACAGGAGCCCCAGCTTTGTCTTCCAGGCCCAAATCCACCCGCTGGGGGATTCAGAGAAAGCCAGCTACTCACATGGTGACTCCCAGTGAGGGCTGACCTCAGCAGAGGAGCAGCCAGGCCTGACAGATTCCAGATCACAACCCCTCCCAGACTCACCCAGTGATTCCATCCCTTAGCCTCAGTCTCCTCATCTGTGTGGTGGAGACAGAGGGAACTCCAGGAAGGGCTGACTGGAGCAGTGAGTGAAAGGCTACCTGTAATATGCTTATTACCTAACGTATCTGGCACAGAAAAGGTACTCCATGAATCTCTCCGCATAATTTTATTAACAAATCTTCCCAACGGCATTTACGGGCATGTGTTAAAGATTAGAAGTGCTTCCTGCCAAGTAATAAACTCCATACTCAGAGTCGCACTCCCCTGTACCCCTACTTCCTTTGGCTGTGTGTGCCCACCACCGTCTTACCCCTCAGAGAGTCCCAGAAGACAGCAGCACCAGGGACAAATGAAACCCTTGCCCTTTTCTTCCCCAACCTAAATTCTGAATCCTCCTCTTTAGATGATCTCCTTTTCTTAAGGTGTTGGGGTGGCAGGGGTGGGTGGGGAGGGTAGATGGTCAGAGAAAACCCAAGTGTGACTGGAGTCTGAATTAAGAGTGACAACAAGGCTCCCGCCCTTCAAAGTCCCCAGGGAAGAGGCTCCAGGGAGAGACCCCTGAATGGGTGAGCTGAGTAAGGCACAGCAAGAGGCCAAGTGGCTGGAGCACAGGGAGGAGGCAGGAGGCTGCCCAGGTAGAAAGTGCGAGGCTGCGCGGGACCTGCACGGAGTGGGAGCACAGTGGGGCACCTTTCTCTTACCTGCGCTGCAACAGTGTGTGACCTGGTAGGAAACAGCTTGGTAACACATGCTGTATCAAACTCTGCCTCGGAAAGGCCAAATGCAGCTCGCAAAGCCTGCCCCTCCAGCGCCTACCACCACTGCATCAAATTCATGATCCACTACTGGATACTGAGCAGAAATCTGGAAAAGAAAAATTCACCTGTCAAGCACAGGTTCCACTATGCCAAACATGAAGACTCTTGTGCCAGTGAAAGAGCTTGACAAAGATAAAAGGAGCAACTGCTGGGCACACAGGGCCTCCATCCTGTCCTGGGGCTGAGCCCTGAACAGTGCAGGGAGAAGTAGGCACATTCGCACCTGGAGAAGGGACTGATAATCAGATTCTATGAATGGTAGAGGGTCTATTCCATGGGATCAGACTGAGGACCACAACTCTACTTCAGGGCCGTGCCTATGCTTATGCCTGAGAAGGTACCAAGGAGCATTCAGTCGCTATTGTGAGCTTATGAGAAAAGAACTTCTCAGCACGTTTCAGTTTTCCAACAGAGAGAGAACAGGCACACTCAATACCAAGGAACCCACACCGGAAGGGCCCCACGGTCCTCTTTTCAGTAGGATTTTATCATCTATCACAGCAGATACTGTTCATTTTAATTTATTGCTTTACTTGACCTAAATTTAAATCTAATTTATAGATACATAACAGATACAAGTAAAAATGTTAACATCTATGTTTATATTGGTACTTGCAATTAAGTATTATTACACTGAAAATAATTTCAGCATGCATTGGATACCTATGAGAAATTTTTCCCTTATGTCTATGACTCATATGAAAACAAACTGGTATAGATCCTTACCCCCAAGCCAAAAAAATCATTTATAATGGAACAAAAAGCATGAACTTACGGAATCTGAAACTTTAGCAGATGCCCTCTCGTTCCTTCAACAGTGAAGTGAACACCTCGGGTTCCTGTTTGCAACACTGTTGGCCACTGGAGACACAGAAGACACAGATCCAGAGGGTTAGTGTCCTGAAGGAACAAATGCTGTGGGGGATAGTAATTCAAACTTCCCCTTGAAAACTGTTCACCTTCTTATGTACCCAGGTGCTCCTGTGCATCCAGAGAGCTCAGCTGGGACCCTCTATTTAACCCTGAAGGGCAGCCCAAGGGGCAAGGAAGGACTGAGCCCCCAGGTCCTCCTTTCCACCCTGACTTGGCACTCTAGAAAACCAGGATGAAGCTTGTTTCCAAAAAGGATACTCACTGACTCAGATACGAGATGAAAAAGACGCACTTCCTCTGGGAAGTCTTCACTTATGCTACTTAGTGGAGGAGGGGAAAGACATCCAGATCGTATTACTGTATGTGGTATTTTGCAAATAATGAAGCATTTTAACCGGCTCCATCAGAGCCCTTTCCACATTACAGTTCCAATCGTCCAGGAGGGCTTGCGGTCAGTTCAAAAGGCACTGGACACCTGAATCAGGAGATCTGTATCCTGGAACAGTAAAGGCTGACAGCCCAGAGGGAAGAGGTGTCATCCCTTCATCACACAGGAGGATGTCGGATGCACACTCTCCCCTGCCTGGTTGATGCTGGCTTTTTCCTGGCCAACGTCTACAACTTGACATATCTCACTGCTTAAATTTTCCATCTTAGAAACCTTTACTCAAGAAAACTGGTTTTAGTGTTTAGTTTTTAGTGGCTCTGTGTGAGAGAGGTCACACTGTCCCATATGCTAAGGTTGGCCAGCCATTTAGGGGATACGTTTTCCATTCTGCTGGCGGCATTTTAGAAGACCACTGAATAGTCTCAGAAATATCATCAAGAATAGTTTTAGGGGCTGGGCGTGGTGGCTCATGCCTGTAATCCCAGCATTTTGGGAGGCCAAGGTGGGCAGATCACCTGAAGTCAGGAGTTCGAGACCAGTCTGGCCAACATGGCAAAACCCCCTCTCTACTAAAAATTAGCTGGTCGTGGTGGCGGGCACCTGTAATCCCAGCTACTTGGGAAGCTGAGGCAGGAGAATCGCTTGAACCCAGGAGGCAGAGGTTGCAGTGAGCCGAGACTGTGCCACTGTACTCCGGCCTGGGCGACAGAGCGAGACAATGTCTCCAAAAAAACAAAAGAAAAAAAAAAGCTTTAGGAAATTATGCACTCAGCAATCAGAAGAGGGGATGTGAGGGATGTCTTCAAGTATTTAGAAATACTTGCAATTCACAAATTACTTATTATGTGGGATAAAAAATTATTCTTCATTTCTCCAATTTCTAGTCTGTTTTTATTGACATAAGCTAATTTAGTTTTTTCTTTTTTCAGAAAATGAGAAAGAACGAATATTCTTCTACCTTAGTATAATTTTTTACATGGTAAAATCATATTTTAAGAAAGAAGTCTTTGAAATAATTTTAATAAAAACGTTCTTGAAAATTTTGTAAAGTGCCCTATTAACATAGGTAATAGCACCAATAAAAACAGTACATTATACCAAATGTAAGTAGAAACAGTGAGATCACTAAATGTTTATTCGTTCTTTCTAGGATGTTGATGTGGAATACACACTGCCCACTCCCCACCACACACACACACAGCTGCCTTAAAAGGGGCAGCTACTATAACACAATCTTGAACAAATCATCACGCCATCCCCCTGGGGAAAAGGACACTAACCCTCTGCATCTAAATCTCATCTGGGGCAGATTTTTGAATCTGGAAAGCCCAACTTCAAGCCAATGTCAGTCTTTAGATAAAACTCAAAACTACTTTTGACACAAAACTAGTCTTTTGTGCCAATTATTAATTTTTTAGGAGAAACTATCAAACATTTCCTCTAAGAAAAAACATGGGGAACATATAACTAAAAGGAATACTTAGACCTTGCTTAACAATACAGAATTTCAGATGACTGAATCAGGAGGTGGAGGGGGAAAAGTAACAAGTGCAGAGACATTCATATCCGAAATCTAGCAAAGTAAGGGGTCCTCATCGAATAAAATGCACCTATAAATCATGAGCAAGAAACGAATCTGCATGTACAGCCTACACAATCACAAAAGCAGCCAACGAAGAACCCAAAAACGCACGACTTTCTGTAGGAAAAGCTACCTTCATCAAGATAAAAAGACTTTTACAAAACCCAAGACTAAATTTTGGTTCCATTTTGCTATCTTGCCATCTGGTCTGAGGTGCCTGGGGCCTTAGTCTGCAGAAGGAACACTGGGCACCATCTGGGTTGGGGACAAAGGCACTGGCTCTATCTAGCTTCTCTCCAACCACAAGCTACCATTGCCCCTAAAAAGTCCCACTGACCATGGGCTTCACCTCCTGCTTGTGGACGCCCTCCCAGCAGCTCCTAAGAGCCCAAGATGCGGCGGGGGTCTCTGCTCAGTCAGCACCAACCACAGCAACACGCTAGAACGGTTTACACGCTTTCCGATGTTGACAGGATGGCTGTATGACTAATCCTCACATTTAATTCAAAGAGATTTTCAATAACTATTTCAAAAAGGAGAAAATTGCACAATCACAGGCATAATTCAAATCAATATTGCTGAATGCCTTGGTTCCTCTATTGAGATTTTTACTCTGCAATTTAAAATTACTTTGTAATTAAGAGGTGGGTGGCTAAGTTCATTTAAAAGAACCAAACAACTAAACCTATCCAATTTCGCTTGATTAAATGAAATCCTAGAAGGCCGATTCTGAAGATGCAATCGTAGAGGGCACATTCAGACACTCAGAGAGCAAGGGCTCAGGGAAGTATAACCCTGACCATCATCCTGGACTAAGCCGAGCCCGGCCCTCGAGGTACTCAGCGCACAGGCAAGCACAGGTCCTGGAGTCCTCGCTCGGTCAGTGCCCTGAGCTCTCCGTCTGATTTTTAAAAACTGGCACAGCTGCTTTTAAACACCGGCACATTTTTGTGGCACAAGGGCCACCAAACGGGACCCAAAGTACAGGTCCTTAACTTCCAAGATCCCGAAGTGGACATGCACAGATTTGCGCTCTCTGGAAAGGGGAACTGCAAGCCCAAGCTCGGGCGCGCCGCGCTTCCCACCGGACACCCACCCGGCCGAGCCCGGCCACTCCTCGCACCCACCCAGGCGGTTTCACCCGCCCCGCCGGCCCCACCCACGGGCTGCGGGCGGCCCCGCAGGACAACCCTCACAGAGGGCGGCAGAGGCCCGGCCCAGCCAGGACTCCACCCCGGTGACCTTGGGCAGACACGACTCCTCCCCGAGTCCACCCGCCAGGCAGAGGCGAGGGGCTACCTCAGCCCGCGAGGTCGCCGGACCCCAGGCCCGGACCAAAGCGGCGGAGGGGACGCCCAGCAAGCCCGCGGGGTCGCGACCTTCACCGGGACGCGGCCTACCTGCTAAGGACCGAGCTCCCCAGGCCCCCGAGTACACTCCGCGGCTCCCCCTCGCACCGGCCCAGGGCTCTCCCAGCCCCTTCCCGATCCCCGGGCAGGGGGCGCGGGCACCCGGCGCCCGCTCCGCTCGGACCCGCTGGGGACCGTCCCGCTCCTACCGCCGCCTCGCCCCCCGCCTGCCCTGCCCCGGTCCGCGGCAGGGACTCACCGCCTTGGCCAGCGCCAGCGCCAAGCGCCGAGCGCTTGGCAACCGCGACAGGCCCCGGACCCCCGACACGTCTGTAGTCGCCGCCGCGCAGTCCCGCCAGTCCCTGCGCAGACTGCGCCTGCGCACCACGGCCGGGTCAAGGCGGGGCGCTAGTGGGGGACATCGCGCCTGCGCACCACGACACGCCCGGGCAGGGGTCTAATGGGCGGGGACGCCGCGCCTGCGCAAAGCGGACCCGCGGACGGTGGCGCTGGGTGGCCACGGAGGTCCCGCGCTCCCCGACCGAGATAGGGCGGGCCCTATTTCGGGGAGATGTTGGGCACCAACATTTTTTAAAGCCCCGTGGGTGGTTCTCCGGGATCTCCCAGACCGAGAGGGCCTGAACGTCCAGACCTCAGGGAATGGGGTCGAAGGGGCGGCGCTCGTCCGCGGAGGTGGGCGGGAGCGGCCCGGGGCCTCCGGCCTCTAGAGAGCGGGAGTGACCCTCGGTTTCTGGCCTCCGAGGGGCGGGAGCGATCCTCAGCCATGTCCCTAGTGTCTGGCTTCCGGCTGATTTTTAAATTTTTGGTAGAGGCGGGATCTTGCTCTGTTGCCCAGGCTGGTCTCGAACTTGTGGCCTCAAGCGATCCTACCTCCTCGGCCTCCCCAAGTGCGGAGATTACAGACAGAGCCACTGCGCACGGCCGTGGTCAGCTTTGAAAGCTGGGTAGATCCCTTTGGCTCATACGCCTTTCTGCTAGCTTACCCTGATTCTGCTTCTGGTTCAGATAGTATTTTAATATTTCTAGTGTGTCTTTTTCTAAGATATCTGAAATCTTTTTGTGGAATGAAGTGGCATGAAAAATAAACCAATAATCATTAGTAAGTATGTTTCCTGTCTTTTCACTTTATTAAAATCTTCGTCTTGTGCATCATGTTTAACAATTTTATTTTAGTAAATTTGCAAGGGTTCAGTCCCATTTTACTGATATTTGGGTTGTTTCCCATTTTTGCTCTTAATAACACCA
Organism: Homo sapiens; assembly: GCF_000001405.40. Classification (NCBI taxonomy): domain Eukaryota; kingdom Metazoa; phylum Chordata; class Mammalia; order Primates; family Hominidae; genus Homo; species Homo sapiens. The sequence goes on along the minus strand of NC_000003.12, from coordinate 195,657,158 downwards.
TACAGAACATATTTGTGACCATAACTTTCTCTTTAGGATTATTTTTTTAGATGTATGCCCCAGACGTGACCTTTATTGGCTTGCAGGGAATGAACATCATACCTCCTAGACTTATTTTTTTAAAGTTACGCTGTTTTAGTCCTGGGTTAGTTACCTAATTTTGTTTGGTTTGAGACGGAGTTTCGCTCTTGTTGCCCAGGCTGGAGTGGAATGGCGGGATCTCGGCTCACCGCAACCTCTGCCTCCAGGGTTCAAGAGATTCTCCCGCGGAGCTTACAGTGAGCGGAGATGGCGCCACTTCACTCCAGCCTGGGCAACAGAGCAAGACTATATTGCTTTAATTTACTCTGCCGGCTATCTGGAGAGATGCAACCTCATCAGCAGAAATTATTTCCACCCTGCTGCTTTTTAAATGTTATTTCCTATAGCCAGGTACTGAGCCCTTCAATTGAGGTCTAAACCCTCCACCCTCTCCCTCCGGGATTGCCAAGCCTGTGGTTTCAGTTCCATGCTCCCAGGTAGATTGTGTCAACTCAAAGTCAATGCGCTTATGAAATACTTTTTGTGGTTTTTTTCTTAATTTTAAGAGGTTTTTTTTTAAAATATGTTTTTGTTTCATGGAGGCGACACCCTCTGTCTCTGAGTTGTGGGAGCCTTCCTCCTTCAGTCTGCATGTACTGAAGCCAGTGTTTGCCGTACCAGCCCCTCAGCCGCAGCAGCCCACAGTGAGGTGCAGGTGCTCACGCCATCGCCCCAGAGAGCTCCTCCATTCGCCCCTCCACCCGTAGCCCCTCGAAACCACTGCCCTGCTCCCCGACACGGTACACTGTCTTCTCCAAGATGTCATGTGTTGGCATCCTTTGGCCTGTGCCCACCGAAACTAGCTTCCTTCAACGGGCATGTAGCCTGGGAGACCTGGGGCATTTGGGTGCATCTTTCCACTGCTGGTTGGTGCCCCCTGTGTGGAAGCATCCGCGTTAGTTCACGCCTTCTCCTGCTCCTGCCGACGGACATTTTGTTTTCTTCCAGTTATTGGCAATGAGGAATGAGGCCTAAACACTTGTGTGCAGGTTTGTGTGTGCACGTTTAAGTTTTCCCTTGGGGGACATTTCAGCAGTGGGGTTGCTGGATGACATGGTAAGGATGTGCTTAACTTCGTAAGAAACTCCAGGACCACTTTCCAGCATGGCGGGACCCCTCCCATTCCCACTGCAGCTTATGAGGGTCCCAGTTCCTCTGCATCATCACTAGAACCTGGGTTGGCCCATGGGTTTTGTCTGTTTTTAGCCATTTTAATGGATTTGCAGAGGTACTGCTGACTGGCATTTCTCCAGCATCTCTATGATGTTGAGCCTCTTTCTCGGGCAATATGCCCTCCTTATACCTTCTTTGATGAGGCCTCCGTTCCAATATTGGCCCTCTCTTTAATACTGGGGTTTTTACTTTCTTATGGTTAAGTTTTGATGGTTCTTCATATATCCTGCGTGCCAGTAGGTTGTGAGACGTGTGATTCACAAATGTTTATTTCTAGACCATAGTTCATGTTTCATTCTCTTTGGATTTTTATATTGCTTTATAGAATTATAATTTTAAATTTATGACTAAATTTAATTTGTCAATCTTATGAATCATGCTTTTGGTGTCATGTCTAAGAACTTTTCGCCTAACCCCAGGCCATACGAATTTTCCCCTGTGTTTTTAGCTAAGGGTTTGATAGCGTTATGTTCTCCATTTAGGCCTTTAATAAATGTTGAGGAACATTTTGTGACCGCCATGGCCATACCTTTCTCCATCTCTCACGGTATCGTGGGCATTTGCAGCTCCCAGTGCGCCGTGCTGTTCCCGTCTTCTTGGTCTGCTCCTCCTGTCATACCTTTCTCCGTCTCTCACAGTATCGTGGGCGTTTGCAGCTCCCAGTGCCCCGTGCTGTTCCCGGCTTCTTGGTCCGCTCTTCCTGTGAGTTTCAGGGCACGTCTTAGTGCTGGCACTGTCCTGGTCCATCGGGGGTCCCATGAGCTTCTCCATGTGGGAAGGTTGGGACTGTGATGTTGACGGGATGCCCTGTGAGTCAGGAGGAGGTGCTGACGGGGGTTTCCATGTAGGAGAGAGAGGTGTTTGGTTTTCCGGATGGGGCAGACTTGAGAGGGGACAAACTTGAGAAATGCCACCAATGAGAAGGGCACGCACAGCAGGTCTCGGGGCCGCCCAGCCGTGTGGGAGACAAACGTGGATGTGTCAGTGGCCACGCCAGGAGGTAAACCCTCAACCAAGGGCCTCTGGGTGTCCAAGACCAAGTCTTGCTCAAGAGGTGTGTTCAGCTGAGCCAACCATGGCAGAAATGCATAAGGGAGATCCCACGGTTCCTCTGTTTAAATCCCCTGCTAATCCCACCAGACTCAGAGAAGCAGCCAAGTCCTCACAGCAGCCTGCAACCCCCGCCTGACTCGGCCTCCTCTTGGCTCTGATTCTCTGCACCCTTCTATCCCTGTCTCTTCTTCCATCAGAGAGGAGATCCGGCACGTTTATCCTGGTGGATTCAAACCCATCTTTGCCCCACATATAGTCACCGGAATGAATAGGTATAATCTAGAAAGAGTCCTTTTGAAAAAGAAAAAAGCAGGCCGGGCATGGTGGCTCATGCCTATAACCCTGCAGGGACCAGCCCCACAGGGTCGGTGGGTCTCTCCCTGTGTGCGGCGACGAGAGAGTGTAGAAATAAAGACACAAGACAAAGAGATAAGAGAAAGGGCAGCTGGGCCCGGGGGGCCACTACCACCAATGCGCGGAGAACGGTAGTGCCCCGAATGTCTGGCTGCGCTGTTATTTATTGGATACAAGGCAGAAGGGGCAGGGTAAAGAATGTGAGTCACCTGCAATGATAGGTAAGGTCACGTGGGTCACGTGTCCACTGGACAGGGGGCCCTTCCCTGCCTGGCAGCCGAGGCAGAGAGGGAGAGGAGACAGAGAGAAAGACAGCTTATGCCATTATTTCCGCATATCAGGGACTATTAGTATTTTTACTAATTTACTACTGCTATCTAGAAGGCAGAGCCAGGTGTACAGGATGAAACATGAAGGCGGACTAGGAGCGTGACCACTGAAGCACAGCATCACAGGGAGACGGTTAGGCCTCCGGATAACTGCAGGCGAGCCTGACTGATGTCAGGCCCTCCACAAGAGGTGGAGGAGCAGAGTCTTCTCTAAACTCCCCCGGGGAAAGGGAGACCCCCCCCCCTCCCCGCCCTTTCCCGGTCTGCTAAGTATCGGGTGTTGTTCCTTGACACCTTTTGCTATCCGCCTGGTAACAGGCATCTTCCCAGACGCTGGCATCACCGCTAGACCAAGGAGCCCTCTGGTGGCCCGGTCCGGGCATAACAGAAGGCTCGCACTCTTGTCTTCTGGTCACACCTCACTATGTCCCCTCAGCTCCTATCTCTGTATGGCCTGGTTTTTCCTAGGCTACGATTATAGAGCAAGGATTATCATAATATTGGAATAAAAAGTAATTGCTACAAACTAATGATTAATGATATTCATATATAATCATATCTAAGATCTATATCTGGTATAACTATTCTTGTTTTATATTTTATTATACTGGAACAGCTCGTGTCCTCTGTCTCTTGCCTCGGTGCCTGGGTGGCTTGCCACCCACATAATCCCAGCACTTTGGGAGGCTGAGGTGGGAGAATCACCTGAGGTCAGGAGTTTCAGACCAGCCTGGACAACATGGTGAAACCCCATCTGTAGTAAACATATAAAAATTAGTTGGGCGTGGTGGTGCGTGCCTGTAATCCCAGCCACTTGGGAGGCTGAGGCAGGAGAATCATTTGAACCCAGAAGATGGAGGTTGCAGTGAGCTGAGATCGCGCCACTGCACTCCAGCCTGGGTGGCAGAGTGATATTGTCTCAAAAACATAGTAATAGGAATAATAAAGGAAAAGTGCAAAAATTCAAACAACTTAACAGAAACTGGGCAAAAGAGCTGAACCGGCCCTCCACAGAAGAGGAAATGTGGAGGAATGGCTAATGAAAACATGAAGAGGGGCTCAGCCTAACAGGGGGAGATATCACGTGACAACCACCAGACGGGCAAAAATCCCACAACCCAATCCATGCCAGCGTTGGGGAGAATGGAGAGAAGCAGGAACACCAGGCACTGCTAACGCTTGTGAAGTATATTTCTGCTATGCTTGTATATGAAAGTGTGTGTGTTGTGGGTTATGAGGAAAATTACATTTTTACCTGGGATGAAATTTTAAAATTTGAAAGCTACTGACCAGAAGAAACTTGCGCTTGTGTACAAAAGAAATGCCCAAGAACGTTCCCAACAAAACACAGTCCTAAGGGCCCCAACCTGGCCAAACACTCATCCACGGGAAGATGAAGACATTTCCCATGCTCCCCTCAGACGACGGGAGACCATGCAGCAATGAAAATGAGCCATGTCAGTGTGGGTGGGTCTCAGGGAGAGAATGGAGGACAAAAATAGACACAGAGCAGGTGCTCAGAGCCATGCAGTGCAGGAGCAGCCACGCAGGAGAATTCCCTCACGTCAAAGTTCAAAACTACAGCCGAGGCAACAGAGCAAGACCCTGCCTCAAAAAGAAAACAGAAAGTTCAAAAACTAAATGGCATATCTTTTAGGGATGTACACACACGGTGAAAGAAACATACTATGAAGGAAAGTGTGCAAATAATAAAGACTAAAGCAGGAAGTGATTCCCTCCGTAGGAGAAGGGAAGGGACTGGGACTCAGGCAGGGCCTCCAGGGAGCATCCAAAGCTATGTCTCTTCAGATTCTACTCCCTAAACTTGGTGGAGGTCCTCTGTGTCCAATGTGTCAATATTCTTTATACCTTACCCATACTGTAAAAACGCTTTATTTCTATTCAATATTTAGAAGACAGTTATAAACAAGATGCATTCAATAGCATGGTGGCAGATGAACATCAGGAAGGAACATCCATGAGCTTCCATCCACGGAACCTCACCATGGATACGCTTGTGATCAAGGGCCTGGTCTCCCCTCAAGACACGGTCACAGATCAGAGGCCACACCATCCTAGCAGTGGAGCAGGACCAGCTGGGACAGGGTCCTTCTGTGACACCTGCTGCATCACCAGGCTGGGTGAACGGACACAATTGCCAGAACTCACAGAATAGAAGTATCAGCACCGAAACCTCACAGGAAAAATGGTAAGTTCTAAGTTTCTCCATTAATAGTAACTCTCAGATTAATCTCTGTCATCCATCGCTTCTCCAAGAAATGACTTTTTAGGGTGATGTGCCAGGCGCCATGTTGGAGGGCTGGTGGTAGCGGCTTGGGGAGGTGCTCACTCTGTCGGTCTCACTCTCTCACACGCTTCCCCGGCTCCCTTCGTTCCCCCCCACCCCACTTGGCCTGCGTGCTGGAGGGTGTGCGAGGGAGTGGGAGGACGTCGGGGGGTGGGGGGAGGCGTTCCGGTCCCCAAGAGACCCGCGGAGGGAGGCGGAGGCTGTGAGGGACTCCGGGAAGCCATGGACGTCGACAGGCTCCAGGAGGCGCTGGAAGATTTTGAGAAGAGGCAAAAAAGAAAGTCTGTCCTGTCCTGGATCAGTTCCTTTTGTCATGTAGCCAAGACTGGAGAAACAGATTCCGTGGTCCCAATTTAAAGGCTATTTTATTTTCAAACTGGAGAAAGTGATGGATGATTTCAGAACTTCAGCTCCTGCGCCAAGAGGTCCTCCCAACCCTAATGTCGAATATATTCCCTGTGATGAAACAAAGGGAAGAATACTGAAAAACTGTCACTGGATTTAACCGTATCCCTTTTACTATTCAGCGATTATGTGAATTGTTAACAGATCCGAGGAGAAACTATACAGGAACAGACAAATTTCTCAGAGGAGTAGAAAAGAACGTGATGGTTGTTAGCTGTGTTTATCCTTCTTCAGAGAAAAACAATTCCAATAGTTTAAATCGAATGAATGGTGTGATGTTTCCTGGAAATGCACCAAGCTATACTGAGAGGTCTAATATAAATGGGCCTGGGACACCCAGGCCACGTAATCGACCAAAGGTTTCTCTGTCAGCCCCCATGACAACAAATGGGTGGCCTGAGAGCACAGACAGCAAAGAGGCAAATTTGCAGCAAAATGAAGAGAAAACTCAGTGACTCTTCGACATCTGAATCAGAAGTTTCCTCAGTGAGCCCTTTGAGAAATAAACATCCAGATGAAGATGCTGTGGAAGCTGAGGGGCATGAGGTAAAAAGACTCAGGTTTGACAAAAAAGGCGAAGTCGGAGAAATAGCCAGTCAAGCGACTTGCAGCGAAATTTCTTCAGTTATGGTAGAAGAAACAGAAGCATCACCTTCATCTCATGATAAAGACAAAAAAAGCCATGGTACCCGGCAGCGCGTTCAGAAGAAGATGAAGATGAAGAGGAAGAAGAAGGGATTGAGAGACCATCTGTAAAAGGGAGGAGTAAGGAGATCCTCAAATTCTTGCATTCATTGTTTTTGTGAAAGAATTGTACATCATGGAACTCCTTGTAATGTCGACGCTGGGCTTTTCTCCCACCTGTATGCAGTTGCTGCTGAATTTCAGGGGATGTGATTTGAACTACAGAACATCAGAATTCACGAAACTTAACTGTGGAGGTATTTTGAATATAAAATTTAAGTACAACAACATTTGCTTATTTTTAGAGTCTTTTATGACATCAAGAGAAATGGTCCCAGAAAGAAAAAACCAAGAAAAAGAATCTGATGATGCCTCAACTGTGAATGAAGAGACTTCTGAGGAAAATAATGAAATGGAGGAATCTGATGTGTCTCAAGCTGAGAAAGATTTACTACATTCTGAAGGTAGTGAAAACGAAGGCCCTGAAAGTAGTGGTTCTTCTGACTGCCGTGAAACAGAAGAATTAGTAGGATCCAATTCCAGTAAAACTGGAGAGATTCTTTCAGAATCATCCATGGATAATGATGACGAAGCCACAGAAGTCACCGATGAACCACTGGAACAAGACTATTTAGAAACATTTACATGCAGTATTTTACACACAGTTCTGGTTTTAACACTGTATAAAACTTTTATGTAAAAAAGTGCACCTTTAGTTTTATAAGAAAAGCAGGTTGTAAAATAAAGTACTTTATGGATAATTCCTGAAAGAGTTGTCCATGTAAGAACTGTGAATATCAGCTCCTCTGGGTCCTGCTTACCTTACCGCTGATTTCTTTTTCTTTCTTTCTTTCTTTCTTTCTTTCTTTCTTTCTTTCTTTCTTTCTTTCTTTCTTTCTTTCTTTCTTTTCTTTCTTTCTTTCTTTCTTTGGTCTGGGCAAATCAGTGGTTTGTGTATAGATTTTTTTTTTTAATTTAGGATTAAAGTTTTTAAACTGGAAAGTAATTATAATTTTGAACAGTTTTTTGAGATTATCACATTTAGTTTATACATATGCAAGAAGCTTTTTGTCTTGTGTCTTTCTGATAGCTCCAGCAGTTTTCATATTTTGGTCATAGTTTCAACATTTTAACATGTGAATAATAGAGTTTCATGCTGGTTTCCAGATTTTATTGTTCGGATACATACAATAGAACCTTAAGTTTTATATATATATATATATATATATATATATATATATATATATATATATATATATTCTAAGGGGGAAAATGTTATATTTTTCTGTTTGTATAAGAGATAAATACAGTGGATACTTTTTCTATTGGTAATGACTGAGTTCACCTCTTTCAGAAGACATTTTCTTTCTCTTCTGAGTAACTGAAATAAAATCTGGCCTCTGTGAAACCCTGGAAATACCACGACCCTCAACTAGAAACACCAATACCAGCTCCTCCGCGAGTTTCCAGCTCCACAACCTAAGACATCAGAGGCAGCATTGGTTCCTCACGTAGAGTCCAGCTCCGGGACCCTCATATTTGAACCGCAGGGCCATCTCATCCCTGGATCTCCAGCTGCACCACACTCAAATTAGAACAACATCAGTTCCTCCCCAGGTCTCCACCTGCACAGCCCTCGAAAGGGAATGTCAGCTCCTCCCCGGGTCTCCAGCTGTAGGGCCCTAAAACTAGAACATCAGCTCCCGCCTGGGTCGCCAGCAGCACCACCCTCAAACTGGAACATCAGATCCCCACGGGTCTCCAGCTGCAGGGCCCTCAAACTGGAACATCAGCTCCCCACCAGATCTCCAGCTGCACGGACCTCAAACTGGAACATCAGCTCCCCGCCGGGTCTCCAGCTGCACTGCCTGCAAACTGGAACATGAGCTCCCTGCCCGGTCTCCAGCTGCATGGCCCTCAAACTGGAACATCAGCTCCCCACCAGATTGCCAGCTGCACGGCCCTCAAACTGGAATATCAGCTCCACCCCGGGGCTCCAGGTGCACAGCCCTCAACCTGCAACATCAGCTCCCCACTGGGTCTCCAGATGAATGGCCCTCAACCTGCAACATCAGCTCCCCACCGGGTCTCCAGATGCATGGCCCTCAAACTGGAACATCAGCTCCCCACCGGGTCTCCAGCTGCATGGCCTTAAACTGGAACATCAGCTCCGAGACCCTCAAACAGGAACATCAGCTCCCCACAGGGTCTCCAGCTGCACAGCCCTCAAATTGCAACATCACTTCCCCCCTGCATGTCCAGCTGCACCGCCTCAAACTGCAACATCAGCTCCCCGCTGGGTCTCCAGCAGCATGGCCCTCAACCTGGAACATCAGCTCCCCCCAACCCGGGTCTCCAACTCCACAGCCCTCAACCTGCAACACTGGCTACCAACTGGGTCTCCAGATGCATGGCCCTCAAACTGGAACATCAGCTCCACCCCCGGTATCCAGCTGCACAGCCCTCAAACTGGAACATCAGCTCCCTGCCGGGTCTCCAGGTGCACGGCCCTCAAACTGGAACATCAGCTCCCCACCAGGTCTCCAGCCGCACGGCCCTCATACTGGAACATCAGCTCCCCACCAGATCTCCAGCTGCACAGCTCTCAAACAGGAACATCAGCTCCCCACAGGGTCTCCAGCTGCACGGCTCTCAAACAAGAACATCAGCTCCCCACAGGGTCTCCAGCTGCACGGCCCTCAACCTGCAACACTGGCTCCCCACCGGGTCTCCCGATGCACGGCCCTCAAACTGCAACATCAGTTCCCCCCGGGCATACAGCTGCATGGCCTTAAACTGGAACATCAGCTCCCCGCTAGGTCTCCAGGAGCACGGTCCTCAAACTGGAACATCAGCTCCCTGCCAGGTCACCAGCTGCATGGCCCTCAAACTGGAACATCACCTCCCCGCCAGGTCTCCAGCTGCATGGCCCTCAAATTGCAACATCAGCTCCCATCAGAGCCTCCAGCTGCATGGCCATCAAACTGGAACATCAGCTCCCCCGCGGGTCTCCAGCTGCACAGACCTCAAACTTGAACATCAGCTCCCCGCCGGGTCATCAACTGCATGGCCCTCAAACTGGAACATCAGCTCCACCCCTGGGTCTCCAGTAGCACGGCCCTACAACTGGAACATCAGCTTCCCCCTGGGTCTCCGGCTGCACAGCCCTACAACCGGAACATCAGCTCCCTGCCGGGTCTCCAGCTGCACAGCCCTCAAACTGGAACATCAGCTCCCCGCTGAGTTCAAACTATTCCAGTTTGAGGGCCGTGCAGCTGGAGACCCGGCGGGGAGCTGATGTTCCAGTCTGAGGGCCGTGCAGCTGGAGACCCGCGGGGGAGCCGAACTTCCGGTTTGAGGGCCATGCAGCTGGATACCCGGTGGGGAGCTGAAGTTCCAGTTTGAGGGCCGTGAAGCTGGAGACCCGTTGGGGAGCTGAAGTTCCAGTTTGAGGGCCGTGAAGCTGGAGACCCGGTGGGGAGCTGATGTTCCAGTCTGAGGGCCGTGCAGCTGGAGACCCAGTGGGGAGCTGATGTTCCAGTCTGAGGGCCGTGCAGCTGGAGACCCGGTGGGGAGCTGAACTTCCAGTTTGAGGGCCATGCAGCTGGATACCCGGTGGGGAGCTGAAGTTCCAGTTTGAGGGCCATTCAGCTGAAAGACTTGGGGAGAAGCTGATGTTCCAGTTTGAGGGCCGTGCAGCTGGAGACTCGGGGATAGCCGATGTTGCAGTTTGAGGGCCGTGCAGCTGGAGACCCGGGTGGGAACCGATGTTCCAGTTTGGGAGCCATGCAGCTGGAGGCACTGCGGGGAGCAGATGTTCCAGTTTGATGTTCCTCCCTGGGTCTCCAGGTGCACGGCCATCAAACTGGAACATCAGCTCCCCGGCCCTCAAACCGGAACATCAGCTCCCCGCCGGATCTCCAGCTGCACAGCTGTCAACATCAGCTCCTCCCCGAGTCCTCAGCTGCACGACCCTCAAGTTAGAACATCAGCTTCTCCCCAAGTCTTCAGCTGCGTGACCCTCAATCTAGAACATCAGTTCCTCTACAGGTCTGCAGCTGCAAGACCCTCAATCTAGAACGTCAGCTCCTCCCTGAGTCTCCAGCTGAAACACCCTCAAAACGAACAACATCAGCTCCTCCCTGAGTCTTCAGCTGCACGACGCTCAATCTACAACATCAGCTCCTGTCTGGTTCTCCAGCTGCACGACCCTCAAACTACAACCTCAGCTCTTCCCCGAGTCTTCTGCTGCATGACCCTCAATCTAGAACATAAGCTCCTCTCTCGGTGTCCACCTGTAGGGACCTCAAATTAGAACGTCAGCTCCTCCCAGAGTCTTCAGCTGCATGACCCTCAATCTTTAACATCAGCTCCTCTCCGGGTCTGCAGCTGCATGACCCTAAAAATACACGAGCAGCTCCTCCCTGAATCTTCAGCTGTACGACCCTCAAACTACAACATCAGCTCCTGTCTGCATCTCTAGCTGCAGGGCCCTCAAACTAGAATATCAGCTCCTCCCCGATTTTTCACCTGCATGACCCTCAAACTAGAACATCAGCTCCTGTACAGATTTCCAACTGTAGGGCCCTCAAACTAGAACATCAGCTCCTCCCCAAGTCAGCAGCTGCAAGACCCTCAAATTAGCAACTCAGCTCCTCCCGGAGTCTTCAGCTGCATGACCCTCAATCTCGAAGATCAGATACTCTCCGGGTCTTCAGCTGTAGGGCCCTCAAACTATAACATCAGCTCCTCTCCGAGTATTCAGCTGCACGACCCTCAATCTCGAACATCAGCACCTCTTCAGGTCTGCAGCTGTAGGGCCCTCAATCTAGAACATCAGCTCCTCCCTGAGTCTTCTGCTGCACGACCCTCAAACTAGAATCTCAGCTCCTCCCAAGTCTTCAGCTGCACGACCCTCAAACTAGAACCTCAGCTCCTCCCTGAGTCTTCAGCTGCATGACCCTTAATCTAGAACATCAGCTCCTCCCCGAGTCTTCAGCTGCACGACCCTCAATCTAGAACATCAGCTCCTCTCCAGGTCTGCAGCTGCAAGACCTTCAAACTAGAACATCAGCTCCTCTCCAGGTCTGCAGCTGCAAGACCTTCAAACTAGAACATCAGCTCCTCCCCGAGTCTTCACCTGCATGACCCTCAAACTAGAACATCAGCTCCTCTCCAGGTCTCCAGCTGCACGACCCTCAAAGTAGAACATCAGCTCCTCTCCGGGTCTGCAGCTGCAAGATCCTCAAACTAGAACATCAGCTCCTCTCCAGGTCTGCAGCTGCAAGACCCTCAATCTAGAACATCAGCTCCTCTCCAAGTGTGCAGCTGCACGACCCTCAATCTAGAACATCAGCTCCTCTCCAGGTCTGCAGCTGCAAGAACCTCAAACTAGAACATCAGCTCCTCTCCAGGTCTCCAGCTGCACGACCCTCAAACTAGAACATCAGCTCCTCTCCGCGTCTGCAGCTCCACGACCCTCAATCTAGAACATCAGCTCCTCCCCGGGTCTTCAGCTGCACGACCCTCAAACTAGAACATCAGCTCCTCCCTGGGTCTGCAGCTGGAAGATCCACTAACTAGAACATCAACTCCTGTCTAGGTTTCCAGCTCCATGACCCTCAATCAAGATTATCAGCTCCTCTCTGAGTCCCCAGCTGAAAGACCCTCAACGTGAACAACATCAGCTCCTCCCGAAGTCCTCAACTGCATGACCCTCAAACTACAACATCAGCTCCTCCCCGAGTATTCAGCTGCATGACCCTCAATCTAGAACATCAGCTCCTCTCTGACTCTGTAGCTGGAAGATCCACTAACTAGAACATCAGCTCCTGTCTGGGTCTCCAGCTCCATGACCCTTAATCAAGATTATCAGCTCCTCCCTGAGTCCCCAGCTGAAAGACCCTCAACACGAACAACATCAGCTCCTCCCAAAGTCCTCAACTGCATGACCCTCAAACTACAACATCAGCTCCTCCCCGAGTCTTCAGCTGCATGACCCTCTATCTAGAACATCAGCTCCTCCCCGGGTCTGCAGCTGCACGACCCTCAATCTAGAACATCAGCTCCTCCCCGGGTCTGCAGCTGCACGACCCTCAATCTAGAACATCAGCTCCTCCCCGGGTCTGCAGCTGCACGACCCTCAATCTAGAACATCAGCTCCTCCCCGGGTCTGCAGCTGCACGACCCTCAATCTAGAACATCAGCTCCTCCCCGGGTCTGCAGCTGCACGACCCTCAATCTAGAACATCAGCTCCTCCCCGGGTCTGCAGCTGCACGACCCTCAATCTAGAACATCAGCTCCTCCCCGGGTCTGCAGCTGCACGACCCTCAATCTAGAACATCAGCTCCTCCCCGGGTCTGCAGCTGCACGACCCTCAATCTAGAACATCAGCTCCTCCCCGGGTCTGCAGCTGCACGACCCTCAATCTAGAACATCAGCTCCTCCCCGGGTCTGCAGCTGCACGACCCTCAAGGTAGAACATCAGCTCTTCCCCGAGCTAAAACACCTCTCCCACCTGGATCTCCAGCTCCACGAGTCTCACAGAACAGCCACACTGGCTCCTTCATTGTCTTCAGCTCCACAACCTAAGACATCAGTGGGAGCACTGGCTCCTCCCTGGACCTCCAGCTCAACGACTCTCATAGACTTAAAAGGCAGCACCTGCTCCTCCCCAAGGCTCCATCTCCACCACCCTCAGATTTGAACAGCGGTAGCACCACCTCCTCTCCAGGTCTTCAGCCCCATGTCCCTCCCTGAACAATCCCTTCTCATGAAATTCAGCAGTCAAGAAATCTGCAGCGGAAGTAAATGAATAAACGTTTTGTTTTCAAATTGATATCTCTTTTATGTTCATGAATTAACTTTTCTACTTTCCATTAGCCTTGCAATCTACTTATGTCCAAGGTGAAACAGAAACACACCATTTGAAATCACGTTTAAAAACTTAGTAATGTTTTTCAATAAAATCATCACACAGCTGTAGACATGATCTTATTTCTCTCTGCCTGTGCAGAAGTCTTATGAAAATTCAAACTATGAATTTACTTTGTTGAGATTCCCAGAATACACATTAATCCCAACTGTTACTCCCCTCCTTAAAATCTTTTAACACATTCCCATCACCTGAGCATAAATGCCAGCTCCCATCCACAGCCCGAAGTGCCCAGCACGGCCCTGCCCTCTGCCCTGGTCTATGGTCTCCCCTCTTAAATGCCAGCACCATCCACAGCCCACAGTGCCCAGCACGGCCCTGCCCTCTGCCCTGCCCTCTGCTGTGGCCTAAGGTCTCTCCCCGGTGCCGTTCCCTTCCTGACGGACAGGCCTCTGTCCGTTCCTCAAACCACACAGGCTCAGGCCTCACTCCAGGCCTTTGCGCTTCTGTGCCCTCTGCCTAGGGTGCCTTTCCCGGGCTCTGCATCCTCCTCTCAACCCACTGAGCTCCAGCCTGCTGGTCGCCCCTCAGGTGGATGAATACACGGTGTCCTCTCACCCCACCAGCTTTTGCACAGGCTCTTCTCTGTGCCAGACAAACACCCTATCGGGGTTTACTCTCTAAATACCATTCATCCTTGGAGTCTCCACTGAAATATCGCTCCCTGCCCACCCCCCTCACTTGGACTTAACCTTGGTTAGGTTGCCAACCCCCGTCTCCTGACTCCGGGAAGCTAGATGCTCTCCTAGCACTCGGAACTTGCCCATTGCCACATTTGCACACCCGTGGTTACTGGGTTAGGTTGGCGCACAAGTCATCGCGGGTTTTGCCATTACTATTAATGAACGGCAGCAACGGCTCCTCCCCGTTTCTTTTGTTTTTTTTTTCGCCATTACTTTTAATGACTGCTGCACCAACCTATTAGAATCATTTATATTTATCCATCCATCATCTGCCTTCCCCTCTAGAAAGGAAGCTCCATGAGAATAGAGGCCAAATCTACTCAAATCACTCCACCTTCCCAGCACATTGTTTGTCAATAATCATTTACCAACTGACTGATAGAGAAATGCCTTCCCTGTTGCTGGGATGAGGCACATGACACGCCCCTTTGAAAGTCAATTCCATGGACAGTTAGCATTTGCTCTTCACTCCTGCACCCGTGGCGTGGCTGGGCTTAGGCTGATCTAGTCTGGCCTTGACTCCAGGCTAAGGATGGGAACCATGACTGCTCCACACGCCTCTCATCCCACAGCCAGAGCCGCCGTTCCCTGGGGCACGTGCATCTCATGGGGAAAATCAAGAGCCTTAGACGGCAGGCCTGGCAGTGCCCACACATTCCAGGCTTCTGCTTGTGCCGTGTCTGTGAAAATCTCGTTGGCAGAAGCAAGTCACCCAGCCACGAGCAACACCTATGGGACGGATAAGTCCATCCACCCTCCCTCGGGCCCTGGCAAGGTTGTGGCTATGTCATACTCTTACGGGGGGAGTGAAAAATTGAGGCCCAACATTAAATCACCCACGCGAGAAATGTCAGCCTCTGTCCCCACGCTGGAATCATTTTTCACCAGCGGGTTTGCCTGAATTCCCTTTGCAATGGTGTCTGCAGGTTTAGCCCAATGCTGGTCCCCGTGGAGGACACAGAAGCCTCAATGGGCCTCCGTCTGTTGGGAAGAACAAGATATTAGCTTGGCGCAAAACCACCGCAAGCCCCAGGAGGCCCTTGTGCCATGAGACAGGAGAGGGGCAGAGAACTGTGGGAACTCAGGAAAGCTCACATCCCCAGCCCCTCCCGTGCATCCCCAGCCCCTCCGCTGTGACCCCAGCACCAGCCCTCTCCCCTGCTTGCCCCATCTCTGCTTTCTTTTTTTCATTTTCTTTCTTTCCTTGTTTTTGAGACAGGGTTTGGCTCTGTCACTCAGGCTGGAGTGCAATGGCACGATCTCAGCTTACTGCAACCTTCACCTCCTGGGCTGAAGCAATTCTCCCTCCTCAGCCTCCCCAGTGGCTGGGACTACAGGTGCACGCCACCATATCCAGCTAATTTTTTTTTTTTTATTTTGGTAGAGACAGGATTTGCCATGTTGCCCAGGCTGGTCTCAAATTCCTGAGCTCAAGTAATCCTCCCACCTCAGCCTCGCAAAGTGCTGGGATTACAGGCATGAGCCACCGAGTCCAACCTACTTTATTTTTCTCTACAGTACTTGGAACCTTCTAATGTACTAAGGACACGTGTATTTTCTTTCTTTTTTGTCTTCCCTAGAACAGGAGCTTAATGTGGGCAGGTATTTTTGTTGATCTCATTTATCACCCTCTCCCCAGTTCCTGGAACAGGGTCTGGCACATGAATGGTGTGTTCTAAATAAATATTTTTAATAGATAAATAAATGAAATATCCTACAAGAGAAAGCTATATCTGGAACTCACCCATCAACAGAACCTAAAAGCCAAAGACCTTTAGCCTGTCTCTGCCTCTGAACACACCCAACCCCGGAGGAGCCAGCAGAGGAAAAAGAGGAACAAAGGCGGGGAAGGGAGCAGGTGGTGCCCACCAAGCAAGGAACCCTGAGGCTTAGGCCGAACCTGAGCTGGAGAAGGGACTCATCTAGGAACTGGGTATGAGATTAAAGTTTAGATTGGTCTGGCCTGGATTTTGTAACACCTAAACAAGAGTTATTCTATTCTTTTTTTGTTTTTTTTTTTTGAGATGGAGTCTCACTGTCCCCCAGGCTGGACTGTAGTGGCGCTATCTCAGCTCACTGCAACCTCTGCCTCCCAGGTTCAAGTGATTCTCATGCCTCAGCCTCCCGAGTAGCTGGGATTACAGGCGCACACCACCATTCCCGGCTAATTTTGTATTTTTAGTAGAGATAGAGTTTCACCATGTTGGCCCCCGGCTCACGCCTGTAATCCCAGCACTTTGGGAGGCCGAGGTGGGTGGATCATGAGGTCAGGAGATTGAGACCATCCTGGCTAACACGGTGAAACCCCATCTCTATTAAAAATACAAAAAATTAGCTGGGCGTGGTGGCAGGTGCCTGTAGTCCCAGCTACTCAGGAGGCTGAGGCAGGAGAATTGCTTGAACTCCAGATGCAGAGGTTGCAGTGAGCCAAGATCAATGCCACTGCACTCCAGCCTGGGTGACAGGGCAAGCCTTCATCTCAAAAACAAACAAACAAACAAACAAAAAACCTTCAAACGAATGTAAGAATTATTATTTTTTAAAGTACAACTTTAAAAATGCCCCTTACAAATACATCAGTGTTATATTAAGGGAAACCCACTTCAGAAGCACAAAGTTAATTTCTTATAATTCCAAGAAATATGTGAATGTTAAAAAAAACCCAAACACCCGAAAAGGGATCAATCTCAAGATAGTTTGTAACATTTTATTGCAAAAAGAAGGGCAGAGAACAGTCTTCTTCATACCTGTTCACCGTAATAATTTTTAGCAGCTCTCCTGTGCAAAGAAGTCTCATCAATCAATCAGCATACGGGCCACAAATACCTTCTCAGTGCGGTTTCACCTACAATACAAGCACTCAGAAGCACAAATTTAACTGAAGTGAGAAACCAGGCCATTTTGTAGCTTCAGTTTTTCTACCAGTAATATATTAATTTCTTGAAATAGCCTAATAATTTAGTTCTACTATCAAAACAGAAGCCCAATCTGGGAGAACAATTATTATACAAGTCAAACTAATTTCAATCATATTAGTATAGGAATTCATATTAGTATAGGCTAATAATTCATATTAGTAGAGGCGGGAGGATCGCTTGAGCCTAGGAGTTTGAGACCAGCCTGGGCAAGACAGTGAGACTCCATCTCTAATTTTTTTTTTAAATAAAGAAACTCAGAGAGGAGAAGGAAGCGGATTGATATGTGTCTATCCAAGCACAAATTTTGTGTGCCTGTACATACAACACGACTATGAACCTTCCTTCACGCAGCTCACAATCTAGTAGCGAGAGAAAAGTACGAAAACATGAGCCCCCACGATGAGGAAAAAGGCGCATATCAGAGAAAAGAAAAATGCTGCGATGATCCAATGGCAGGAGCAGCGCGCATCCACTTTCTTTGTTTTTTTGAGATGGGGTTTCGCTCTGTCTCCCAGGCTGGAGTGCCGTGGCTTGATCTCAGCTCAATGCAGCCTCAACCTCCCAGGCTCAAGTGATCTTCCCATCTCAGCCTCCCAAGTAGCTGGAACTACAGGCGTGCACCACTACACGTTTACTTTTTGTAGAAACAGGGTCTCACAATGTTGCCAAGGCTGGCATCCTGAAGGGCGGGTGGGGCTTCATCCTACAGAGATGAAAGGCAGAAGAAGCTCAGAGCCCAAAGCAAAGGGGTGGAGGACAAGGGCATCTTCAGAACAGAGTGGCTCAGCTGAGACATCCAGTAGGATGCCACCAGGCAGAGGTGTGGTGGAAAAACACAGGGCCACAGGGTGAATGCTCACATGTGAGGAGCAAACCACCACAGAACACAACAGAAACACGGTGT
This sequence comes from Homo sapiens, assembly GCF_000001405.40. Lineage (NCBI taxonomy): Eukaryota > Metazoa > Chordata > Mammalia > Primates > Hominidae > Homo > Homo sapiens. The sequence continues at coordinate 195,639,331 of NC_000003.12, read as the reverse complement.
ACTAAATCAGGCTTCAAATCGCAGCCCTGCAACTTCAGAGCTACCACAGGTAACCCAGAAAGGGAGCACGGACAGCACCGCCCACTGCCTGAGGCTATGAGATGGACCAGAAACCTGTGCTTACTAACAACCTGCCTTATTCCAGAAGGAATTCAGGAAACACAAAGACACTCACAGTACAGCAAAATAAAGTAAATGTGAATCATGTTGGCTGAGGAGAAAGTGAAGAGTCTAAGACTATGTCATAAAGTTTACCTCTACTCTAAACTCTCATTACTGGTGAGCCACCAATCTGACTTTAAGTTTTCTAGCAGCTAAATTGAAGAGGAAAATGTAATCAGGTAAAGGTTTATAAGATGCAAACAAAACAGGACAGCCACCACAGTTTCTGAGAAGACGCGCAGCTCCAGCTCCAGGAGAAACAGGGTGGCCATCTCCTGGGGCTGCCCCGCAGCAGGTGTGTCAGCCCCAAAGCCAGCGTCTCTCAGGGTGAACGGTGACTATGGGCTTCATGGGGCCACACACCTCCAGTACAAGCTGAGGAAATCTCCCAGGGCAATTCAAGGAACAGGGTCTCACAATGTTGTCCAGGCTGGTCTCAAACGATCCCCCTGCCTCGGCCTCCCAAAGTGTTGGGAGGTCAGACGTGAGCCACTGCATCTGGCCCCGCATGCACTTTATAGAGGAGGGCTTTGCATCCTGAAGGGCGAGTGGGGCTTCATCCTGCAGAGATGAAAGGCAGAGGAAGCTCAGAGCCCAAGGTAAAGGGGGGCGCCTAACAAAAGCGACTCCATTGGGACCACGGTGAGAGGGTCCCCATACACAGCTTGGGTTAAGCCAGACACTGATTTCAAAGTATCTCAGGAATGGTGGACTCAGCACCTGTCAGGCAATTCTCTCTCTCAAGCAGGCTCCTGGTAGATATTTAGTAGCAGCTGAAATCAAGATTATGTTCTGACTGACACTTGCTGAGGGTTAAAGAGCTATATACGCTTTGAGGACCAGCTGAACTGGGGCAGGACTAACACCCTCTGGTGAAAATACGGGAACCCAAACACACGAGTCAGAGCAGGAGGTGTCTCCCCCACCTCCAAACAATAACGCTGACCTTGGATTTGGGTTAAGTGCCTAGCCCAGGGGTGTGAGTGTTCAGGAAGTGGAAACCATCATCACCATCATCAGGTAATGGAAAACCATCAAAGCTTTGAGCTGGCTTGTTAGCCAAGAATAGTAGTAGTGTATTAGCTACTACTAATACTCACAGCTGACAATTACTGAGCACTTGCTCCGTGCCAGGAATCACGGAGGCACCTCGCATGCATTTCCTCAATACTCCCTCCCAGTAACGGCGAGGACACAAAACTGGTAGAGCCAGGACTGGAATCCAGGCAGGCCCCAAGGCACTCCAGTGGAGCCTGCCAAGGAGGGCAGGCTACCATGCTAATGAGGTCCAGTATTTGACCACCACTCCTAGTTGAGCAAATTAACAGAAAACCTAAAACTAAACTTAAAATCTAAAAATTTGAGCAAATGCATAAAAAGCAGCTGTTAAAATGGATCATAAATCTTGCATCACTCGCTGGAAAACCACTCAAAATAAACGTCTCTGAGACATGGCCTCTGAGGAGGGCACTCCGTGTGGCTCGTATCACCCTGGTGACAAACCACGTGAACCTGGGTGGTCACCTGACCATATTGAACAGACGATGCACAGAGCCATTTGCATCCACTGTGGTCAACATTTAGGAAGTTTTAAGCTAAGATTTGCCAAATTGTAGCCTACTGGATTCCGGGTTCTCTTGACATCTCTTTCTAGTCGCCATGTCTTGCACTTCCCGAGTATAAATAAACTGAGATGCAAATAAAAAAAGGAGGATTTAAGAATAATGAAAAGAGAAAAATCAAGAAAGCACAATCACTAGTGTAGAGATAACAGAATTTCTGAATTCCCTGAAAACAATCTATATAAATGCATGTGAAATAATACACCAGCATCTGTGGCCCATACGTCACATATTAGGAACTGATAACATAAGGTAAACATGTTACTCTGAAAACACAAATCCTCACAAATCATTAGGCAGTAAGACTGAATCCAGCACCTCCCCCCCCACCACCCACAGCGCAGTGAGGCAGTGTCTAGCAGCCGTAGTGCTCCCCGCGCCCCAGTTCAGTCTCTGGCAACATCAGATACTTCCCACTAATAACGAGGAGCCTTTCAACATTTTCACAACATCTCAAAACTGACCCCTTTTCTAGCTTAAATGGCACGGATCTGGAAAGGCAAACTATACACAGAATCAGAAAAGATGACTGCCCCTGAGGGATTACAGAAAAAGCAGCAGTCAGGTGTTCAATGAAGTAAAATGTATCCAATGATAGCTCAGGGGAGGGGGATCAATTGAGCTGAAACTGGCAAGAACGTAACTCCAGGGAGCTCACAACACGCCAAGGACCCAGATTTCCCGCTGCCTGAACGCCCAATATTCGCACACTGATAAGAACGCCTCCCCATAACTCCCCTGCCAGCGCCTCCAACACCCCCAATCCTTTCCCCAGGAACCCAGTCCCAGTTTCTGCAGTTCCTGTAACAGCCACGTTCCCACACAAGTGCTGCCTGAGCTCCCCAAGCCCTCCAACAATCACCCCCCAGTGCCCTCGAAGGTCTATTCAGAGAAGTCACCAAGATGCAGTCACCCAGGAAATTCAAGGACCCCCAACTTACCAAAAGGCTTTCGGCTGGACAGAGCTAACCTTCCTATTCCCCTCCTAAACCTACAACCTAGTTTTCATTTCTCAAGAAGCCTTTCCCTGCGCTCACGCACGCCGTTGTTAGCTGGCTCGGTGAGGCACTCCAAGCAGTAACAGCGGTAGCCACAAAATAAACCAGAAGCATCTCCACCATGAAGCAGTAATAATTTGTCCTAATGATTCCTTTGTCCTTGGAAAATCAACTTCAGAAAGAAAGTTATCCACTGTGAGCAGGGCAGGCTCGCGGCTTCTTGGTCCGGAGACCCAGGTCCCACTGGCCCACTCACCCTTGGAGAGAGCTTGCTGAAGCTGGGTGTCCGATATCACTCCACTCCTCTCTATCAACCCTATAACATCAAGAAGACCAAACAAGCTGGCGATCGAAAGTTCAGGAAAAGCAAAACAAACGTCTCCTGTCAACCCTGCACCGACTCTGGAAGGCTCCCTCCTGGAACCTCCGCCTCTCCGGTCCCGCTGAGGAGTACAGCGGAATCAAGGAAGTGCCCCAGGAGCCACGTCCAAGTGTGTTCTTCCCCTAAGAGGACAATCATCTTTCTCTCTCTTTTCCCACCTCAATCCTTCCCTTCCTTCCCCTCCTGACCTGTCTGAATTCCCATTTGCACCAGTTTCCCTTTTTCACAGACAAGACAAGATTCCCTCAGATAACTAAGCCATTCCCTGGCCATGAGTTACTACAGTTTCGGTCATTCATTCAGTGGAAAAGCGACCAGGGACAGAAGGCGCCGCCATAAAGGTCACCTGGCCCGAGCAGACGCCAGGTCGCTGCTTCTTCCTTGGCTGCTGACATTTTAACAGCGGCCCAGACAGTCTGTTTCCGCTTTCCCCAAACAAGCACCCTGGAGACCCTCCCCCGACGGCTCGAGGCGAGAAACGGGGCCTGGCCCAGGAGCCGGTGGCCGCGACCTCGGGTCTGCAGTGGCGCCCTCTGCACCTTGGGAAGCGCCCGACGCACAGGACAGGGACCGGGCAGGAGGCAGGGGCGGCCCCAGGAGACCGGGCAGCGGACGGGGGAGACCGCGGGGGACCCGGAAGGGGATGGGGGCGGCCGCGGGGGTCGGGGCAGGGGATGGGGGCGGCCGCGTCGGTCGGGGTAGGGTTCGGGGGCGCCCGCGGGGGTCCGGGCAGGGGCGGGGGAGACGGCGGAGGTCGGGGCAGGGGACGGGGGAGGCCGCTGGGGACCCGGCAGGTGACGGGGGAGGCCGCGGGGCAACCGGCAGGGAACGGGGTTGGCCGCGGGGGTCGGGACACGGGTCCGGGGCAGCTGCGGGGGAGGCGGGAGGTGCCGGGGCGGTGCCAGGTGGCAGCTCTGGAAGACGTTCCACAGGAAGCTCTGGTCGGGCAGCGCCGCGCCCGCAGCAGGCCCAGGGCCGCCCAAGGCCGGGGCGGTAGGAGTAGGCGGCCAAGGGCCAAGGCGCGCGGCTGGGCTGAGGCACCTGCGGCCACGGGCGACCTCAGAGCGACTGTGCTTCCGCCTCTGCCGGGGGCAGGGCCAGGCGTTACCGCCGCTTCCGGGGGCGCAGGAAATGCGCGTTGTCCGGGATCCTCCGGCGCAGGCCACCTGCGCGCGGGGCCGGGAAGGCGCTTGGAGGAAATGTCCCGCGCCGCGACCCGGGACAGGCAGTGATGGAGCAGGGATTTCGTTTGCCTTTTAGTTCTTGTATAAAAAGAAGTTTTGACGTGAATATGATTCACGCTAACAGTCGGAAACTCTGGGCGGGGCGCGGTAGCTCACACCTGGGATCCCTGCGCTTTGTGAGGCGGAGGCGGGCGGAGCTCTTGAGCCCAGCAGTGCGGACCAGCCTGGGCAGCGGGGCTAGACCCCATCCCTACAAAAATTACAGCAAGTAGTCGGGCGTGGTGGGCTCCTGTGGTCCCATGTACTCCGTGGGCTGAGGCGGGAGGATCGCCTGAGCCCGGGAGGTCGAGGCCGCAGGGAGCCGAGATCACTGCAGCTCCAGCCCGGTGGACAGCGAGACTCTGCAAAAAAAAAAAAAAAAAAAGCAAGCAGGCCGGGTGCGGTGGCTGACGCGTGTAATCCCAGCACTTTGGGAGGCCGAGGCCGGTGGATCACCTGAAGTCAGGAGTTCGAGACCAACCTGGCCAATATGGAGAAACCCAGTATCTACTAAAAATACAAAATTAGCCGGGCGTGGTGGCGCACGCCTGTAATCCCAGCTACTCGGGACGCTGAGGCAGGAGAATTGCTTGAACCCGGGAGGCGGAGGTTGCAGTGAGCCGAGATCAGGCCATTGCACTCCAGGCCTGGGCAACAAGAGCAAAACTCCGTCTCAAAAAAAAAAAAAAAAAAAAAAAAGGCAAAGCACAATTCGCGTGGGAAGGGCAGTGTGCAGCGTTCTCCGTTGTCTGTTCCGCCCCCAAAAGCTTCCCTCCTTTAGGTTTAACCTGCGCCCCCGCGCTCTGCATCAGCGCGGTCCCCGACCGGTGCAGCTGGAAACACTGGGCGCCTCCCTGCCGGGCCCCTTCCCGCCCCTGTGGTGGTGCAGCCCTGCCTCCCGCAAGACAGCACTGCCTTCGTGCTGGACACAGTTCTATGGTGGAGCCTGGAGTGCCTGTATCACAAATCCCGGAGTTGGGAAGTGCCCACCTTTGGGCCAGTGTGATCCCTGGGTCTTTCCCGGGGTGGTCTCATGCGGCCTTCCACTCCAGTCCTGTGTCCTGTGCCCCGGTTCAGAATACTACAATTATTCTCGTTATTTCATGGGGTTATTCCAGCTTTTCAGTTTCGTCAGTGCCTCATTCCATGAATGCTAACTTTTTTCATCCTCATAGTTCCTAGGGTTGTCTCTGAATTTTCACCCAGTTGCCTACCAAGATGTTGTCTGTGTCTAATGCAGGGGATGGTGCAGGTCTGAATATCTTACTCACAGCTCACCTTTTTGGTGCCTTTGATCCGTGTTAGGAATTATCCACATCTTCTCTCTGGGCAGTATTCTACTTTCTTTTTATATTGACCCAATTATTTTACTTCTTTGGTGTGTCCTTTCTCCTAACACATACGGGTTCACTTTGAAACCTTGAAACCCACATTTACAAAAACATTTTCAATATGAAACATTGTTCCATGACTCATTACTGGAGTACCATCAACATTTACATTTCCAGACCACCCACTGCCCAGTGGTTTTCTTGGTCTCAGTACTCATGAAAACGGTCTGAAGGTTTGTTTTGGGTTCCTAAGTAGTAGACACACGCACAACACTGCCTGTCAGTTATTTCTTGGAAACTAAATCAGCCCTTCTGTTGCCATCCTATCATGCTTCAGGGGTGCCTGTGCTAGTTTTTAATTCTTTGTTCTAACACTTAAATGTTTGCTCAAACGCCCATATTAATACTTCCTCTTAGTTTACAAAAGGATTTACTTTCTTACTGGTTGGGATGAAGCTGCCTGAGGTTGCCACCTGTTATTTTTCCTTCATTTATTGGACCATGTCATCCCATTACATGTCAGCCGTGGAGGTTTTCAAACTGTGGTCCCTGGACATGTTAAAAATGCAAATTCTCAGGCCGAACCAGGACTGAATTGGAAGATCTGGGGTAGGGTCCCCCCAGGACTGAATCAGAAGATCTGGGAGGGTCTGGTGCTGTGCACCCCGACATTCCCTCACTACCCCACTGCCTCTCCCTGCCCTGTGGTCACCACAGCAGCCGCCTCTGCAACCTTGACTATCAGCATGCAGGTCCCAGGACTCGGGGGTCTCCTAACCCGTGCACCCCGACATCCCCCTCACTACCCCACCGCCTCTCCCTGGCTCTGCCTCTGCGTGGCTCCTCTCCTGCTGCCCCCAGAAGGTTTTTGTAAAGCCCGACTCAGGGCGTGCATGGCCTCTCCCTCTCCCACACATGGGCTCCCCGTCCCCTCCAGCTCAGCAAACACACAGCACATCCAGGAGCCACGTGGGACCGCAGTGTCCCATGGCCGGTCCCCCAGATCCCTTGGATGTCTCACTCTGGTGAGCCCCTCGCTCCAGTGCCCTCCAGGAAGCCCCCGTCTCCCCATACAGAAGGGATCTCTTCCCTCCTGAGCCATCGGTGCCCGACCCTCCCTCTCCTCTGTCGCCCCATTTGTGGCAGGTCAGCCACACCCGTGAGCCCCGGAGCTCTGTGAAGGCCGTCACGGCTCCTTATGACGGCGCCCAAACAGTGCAGGCAGCCGGAAGCTGTTCCCTGATGAAAGAAAGGAAGAGGAAAGGAGGAGGGAGGGAAGAAGGCCTTTTCTTGTCCCGAGAGACTTCTGTAGGAATTTTTGGGTGATACTGAGCATGGTAGACCCAGGTCATCTTTCCACGAGAGGGGCCAGAGTACCGCAGGCTCAGCCGCGGTCAGGGGCTCAGGGCGCCGGGGAAGCATTCGCGTGGGCTGCCCCCACGGGCCGCCTTTGCCACCAAGACCCACTCTTCCAGCCAGGCCTTGGGCCGGCCCTGCTTTCCCTTCGGACAAGGTCTTCAGTCCACCGAGAGGATGGCCCACCTCCTGCCCCTGGGTCAGTGCGCAGCCCCAGGGAGGAGCTGTGTGAACCTGGGAGGTGCTGGGGAGCAAGGGTGCTCCACCAAGGGAGGCAGGAGGCCGGAGACCAGCCCGGCCCAGGAGGAGCCTGGCCAGGAGTCCCACCAAAGCCACTGGACCCGGGGAGCCTCCAGTGACCCAGCCTTGTAGGGTCAGCACTGTCCCTAGGACAGAGTCTGCTTCGTACACAGGTCTCGCTGTCTGTGGAGGCTTCAGGCCCCGATGCCTGGGCACACGGACTGACGGCAACCCTCGGGGTGGGAGGCCCCAGATGGGACTTCCTGGCCTGCCCGGGGTGGCGGGGGGGCGGGTGGGAGAGGACGGAGCGTCTGTGTGCATGTGTGAGAGCCTCAAGGACGGCATGTCTGTGAAGATGGCTTCACCCAGCCGCGGCTGCCTTCCGTGTGTGGGCAGCGGTGACGGAGCCGTGACCTCACGGGACAGCCTTTGCCGTGTGGTTTTCCCGCCTCTGGTCCCTTTCCTGGGCTGAGGATCCTGGCTCTGGGGCTCAAGGTGTGGGGTTCGCCAGCACCGGCTCCTGCCATAGACATCCTGGTGGCCCTGGCACAGGCCTGTCCTCCAGCATGGTTCCTAGACCCACCACGCAGGACTCCTAGGCCCCTGAGGGTTGGCAGGAGTGAGGCAGGCAGTCACCAACTGCCCTTGGGTGAGGCTGGTGGCCAGGGGGGGACCCAGCAGGTGCAAGCCAGGCCATCCCCAGCAGCCGCCGGAGCCCATGTCTTTCCCACCGCACAGCACAGCCAGGACATGGGGGTCAGGCCATTACTTACGCTTCTAGTCCTTACATCACCCACAACTTACCCCTGACCTGTGCCTGGCTGTGGTGCCCGCAGCCTGGGCTCCACATAAACACAGGCCAAGAAGTCCCATCTGCAGCCTCCCACCGCAAAGGTTTCCGGCAGTCCGGGCTCCCCAGGCACCGGCTCTGCAGCCCCCACAGACAGAGAGACCCCTGTGTGAAGTCCGGGCTCCTCAGGCACTGGCCCTGCAGCCCCCACAGACAGAGAGACCTGTGTGTGAAGAATCCGTTTGAGGGACAGTGCTGACCCTCCAGGGCTGGGTCACGGAGGCTCCAGTGGCTTTGGTGGGACTCCTGGCCAGGCTCCTCCTGGACTGGGCCTGGGCTGGTCTCCGGCCTCCTGCCTCCCTTGGTGCAGGATCCTTGCTCCCCAGCTTCCCTGGGAAATCCGACGCCTTCTGATCCTGCATGCATCCGGCACCCCTGACGCTGGCGGAGTTGCCTTTCTGCGTGTATAGCTCCTAACAGGGCAGCACAGCTGTTCTGAAACCTCACACATCATCACTGGGGTGGCTGAGGCTGGGCCACCTGGTGTTCACCTCCTGACCCTGGAACTGTGCAGAGAACCTCTCTTCAAATAGGAGGCAGGTCTTTGTGGCTGTGTTTAAGTTAAAGATCTTGAGATAAGGAGGTCATTCTGGATTAACTCGTTGGCCCTACATGCACGGCAAGTGTCCTTACACAGAGGCAGAGGGAGGTTAGACGCAGACAGAGGAGGAGGTCGCCTGGAGACCGAGGCAGAGGTGCAGCATTGTGGCCGCGGCCCAGGGACGCCTGGAGCCACAGAAGCTGGTGGAGGTGGCAGGGTCCTCCCCTGGAGCCTCTGGAGGGAGCACGGCCCATGGACTCGATTTCAGACCCCTCCCTGCTGAGCGGGGAGAGAATGAGTCCCTGTTGTTTTGAGCTGCCGAGACTGTGGGGATCTGCCATGGCAGCTCCAGGACCCTCAGACCTTCGGCTCAGAGCCCCTCTAGCACTGAGCAAGACGACCACTCAGGGCCGCCCCTCCCCGCCCAGCCAGCATGTGCCTCGCTGCTCACCCGACCACGCAGCCCTCAGTTACAGATGCCTGCCCGGGATACGTGGGACGAGGGCTGCGGCTTCCCTGGGGACGGGGTGCGTGGAGCCTGCCTGCAGCCGTGTTCCTGTTTACGTGCTGAGTGAAGCTGGACCTGGGTGGGATGGGGCATTCTGCCCAAGGGTCTCTTGGGGGGTCCATGAGGACTGTGTTCTGACGATACTGCCCTCCTTCCTGAGGCTGCCGTGGGGCTCCATGGAGGCCATGGGGTGGTGAGGATGGAAGAACACCTAGGCTGGGCTCCTGGGACCCCAGCAGCAGCTGAAGGCACTTGGAGCACCACAATTCCCACCCACGGGCCAGGCAAGCCCAGAACCGTCCCCAAAGAAGGGAGCAAGGAGACACGGCCTTTTAGTGATAATATCATAACCAAAAAGTTCTTTAACATTTTTTCATTTTTTTCTGTCACTCAATATTTTTAAAATTATATGTCCATTTTTTTTATTATTTCACCCATCTAATCATTGCCATCTATACCAAACAAAAAAATCTATGCACCGGTGTTCACAAAGCATTTAAGATGCCTGTGAAATGTAATAAGAACTAACTGCAGCTGCACAATATTCCCTCGTATGTATGTTATCACCATGCTGACGCTGGGCACTCAGAGCATTTAAAGGTTTTTATTATAATGAATTCTGCAATGAACATCTTTCTATATAAATTTTTGTGAGTACTTTGCATTATTTCCTAAAATAAATTAGAAGAAGGAATGATGAATCGGAGAATGTAAACACTTGGAGCTTTTGAAACACACAGTTTTTATAAATTAGAGTCTGTAGTTTTAATTCAGGGAGATTGTTGTGTCTCAGAAGATATTTCATGGTGAAGTCTCACCTGACGGCACTTCCTCGTCCTCTGCAGAGCCGTGTGTCTAGGGCCCGGGGTGCGGAACGGGCAGTTCTTCAACACAGTGAGCGGCAGCGGGCGTCCCGAAGGTTCTCAGGCCTTGTCTCCGTGGAGGGCATTTTGTGGCCTCTCCCAGGGCAGCCGGCAGGAGCCAGGCGAGAACAGATGCGTCTGTAGCAGGAGGGCGTTGATGCCTCTGAGGTTGTAGCGAGGTTGGTATTTACCTTTTCCTCCTGGTCCATTCTGAAGCTCCAAAGAACGGTCAGTTTAATACAGAGACACAATTACAGCAAGCATCTAGTGTGAGGCGAGTCACGCATTTTGGCTAGAATTACTCAGGGCGTTGGAAAATCACAAACCTTTTCAAGTAACTTGCAAATTGCTAGCATTCTCTCTGCAAGACAAGAGATGCTGTCTGTGCCCTGACCCCTGACTCCACACCCCAGCTTGTTCTGCCCCTTTCTGATTGTTCTAAGTAACTGACATACTTAGAACAGTTTAGGGCCACGTCGTGGCCTTTCGAGGCCGGCGTGCTGTGATATTTTCCTACAGAGCGCGGTCACTTCCAGAGGCGAGAGAGGCACAGAATTCTATTCTGAGAATCCCTGGGACACACGCAGCGGTGGCTGTGAGTATGAGGGCAGATGCTGCGGAACAGCCTGGAAAGGATGCGGGGTCCGTGGCCCCTGGCAGTGCCCGGAGCTGAGCAGCCACCTTCCTGGAGGAGAAGCCCTGCGCCAGATGCCTGAGAATGACACACGCAGGCCCAGCTGTTCTTCAGAGATACAGAGCGACCCACCGTCTGCTTTGCTGGGACTGTCCAGTGTTCGCAGGGAAAGTCCTGCATCCGGCACGCTGGGGCGGTGGCTGCACCAGCTGAGAACCAGTCTCTGATTTTCGGGGTGAGAAAAGTAGAGGTGGGTGCTCTGCCTGAATGCTCACCAGCTCAGCGGTGCAGCTGAGCAGTGGACATCAGTCAGACATCTCTGTGAAGTGTTAGCGGGAAAAGTGTCATGGAACCATTAGCAGCCGCTTGAGGTTAGGCCCAAACCAGTGGGGCCCACCGCATCCAAACACTTGGGGCCACCTGCCGTCATCGGGGGTGGTCCTCCTTTCTTCTGAGCGGGGATTCTCTTCCTGCCGGGAGGGAGCAGTTTGGCTACAAAGCTGCCTTTGAGAACGAGACCCCGTCTCCCCTCCCTGCGTTCCCAGGACTTTGTGAAGAAGAGAAAGTGAGTGGCTCTTCCTTTCTCCTGGATCTCGGCTGTGGGGCTGCCCGCCGCCCTCCTCCTCCCACCCTAGGCTACCTGACCCGTGGAGGCCGGCCTGAGACAGACGCATCTCCGAACACCAAGTGCCCCGTCTTCTAGGCCATTCCAGGGACGGATGAGTCAACATGGGCTTCTTATCCTAATGTTTTAATTTGGAACTCCGCTATTGATCTGATGTTTACAAAGGAACCCACGCGTGACATTAAACTGTCAAAAGAGAAGCCTGCACCCTGCGAGAATTCCTGCCTGAGATACTGTCTTTTTGTGAGTGTAAGTGCAGAGAGAGCCCACGCAAACCGCAGGACACCAGAGCCACCGCCCTGCCCCTCCAGGCTGCCGGCACTCAGGCTCACCCTCTCTGGAGGAGCCATCATTCTGGCCTCAGATTCTCCTTCCAAAACACTGCAAACAGAATGTCAGGCAAAGAAAGAAAGAGCCAGGCACACATGGAGAGATGGCAATGTGAGTATAAGCGGTGAGAAACCCAGCAAATGAAAACGTCTACACGAGAATGCAGACGCAGCACCCTCAGACGCCGGCTGCAGAGAGCGCTGGAGACATTGTCCATGAGAAGAAAAAGAGAAGGTCAAGAACTTCAGTGGAGAAATAAAAATTACACAAAAAGGAAAGATTTGTTTTTTTTTCTTTGCTGATTGTATTCTTCCTATTCTCCCTCCACTTTCTTTCTAGAACTCCAACTTTTCTCATTGCGTTCTCTATTTTCCCATTGCAGTCTCTATTTCCATGCCTATTTGTAAATGCAATACAAAAATGATTGCCTGGAAAAAATACAAGCGATGTTTCAGAACTCAGTAAGTGGGTTTAAAAACAGTTTAGATATCACTGAACAATAATGAATAACTAGAAAGTAGGTCAGAAGAAGATTCTCAGAATGAAGGACAGAAGCATAAGGAGGAAAATAGAGAGAGCAAGTGTGAGGGACTGAACCGCGTCCTCCCAGAATGCCCATGCGGAAGCCTGGCTTAGTTCTGGCTGCCATAACAAAATGCCATAGACTGGGGGCTCAGAAACAACAATGCATTTCTCACAGCTTTGAAGACTGGGGAGTCTCAGATCAAGGTACCGGCAGATTCCGTGTGTGGTGAGGACCGGCTTCCCTGGTGTGTCACTGCGTCCTCACATGGGGGATGGGGGAGGGGCGCTCTGGGGCCTCTTTTATGAGGACACCGATCCCATGATCAGCGGTCCACCTTCAGGACCCCGTCCCTACCACAGGCCCCATCTCCTAACACCATCGCCTTGGGGGTGAGGATTTCAACAGATGAATTTCGGGGAACACGGACATTCAAACCCTCACAAAGCCCCACCCACCAAGGAGAGTCTGTCTGGAGAGAAGACATTAGGGAGGTAATTAAGGTGAAGTGCAGCCAGCAGGGTGGGGCCCTGATCCGATAGGACTGGAGTCCTTATGAGAAGAGGAAGAGACACCAGATTGCGTGCGTGTGTGTGCATGTGTGCGTGTGTGTGCACGTGTGTGTGCGCGTGTGTGCATGTGTGTGCACGTGTGTGCGCGTGCACATGCGTGTGCACAGAGAAAAGGCCTTGTGCACACAGGGAGCAGGTGGCCCTCCACAAGCCAGGAAGAGAGGCCTCACTAGACTAACCCTGTCCCTGTGTTGATCTTGAACTTGCAGCCACCAGGGTTGTGGAGCCCCTGGTCTGTGGTGCTGGCTTATGGCAGCCCTACTGCCCCAGTGAGATGGGAAGAGACAGCAGACACAATGAGAAGACACCACACGTGAGTAACTGGAGTTCTGGGAAGGAGAGAAAGAATAGGCAAAATCAGTATTTAAAGTGGTAATGGCTTAAAATGTTCCCAAACTAACGCAAGCCACCCCGGCCCCGGTGGGCTGCTTCTGACCCTGTGACCCGGGGCTGTCACCGCAGGAGCCTCCCTGGCCGCCTGGCTATTTGCTGTCACCACGGCAGGCCTGCTGTGGCTGCCTCCCCTCTGCAGATGCCACCGGGTGCCCTGGGGAGCGGCAGGCACTTCCTTTCCCGCACTCAAGATGCCCACATTTTGAAAACCCGAGGGGGCACATTGGATTCTCCAACTACACACTTTCAAAAGCCAAATGGAATCAACCTGGGTGCCTATCAATGGATGAATGGATACAGAACACGTGGTATCTTACGCAATGGAATACTCCGCAGCCATAAACAAGAATGAAATCATGTCGTTTACAACAACATGGATGGAATTGAAGGCTGTCATGTTAAGGGAAGTAAGCCGGGGTAGAAAGACAAATGTACCATGTTCTCACTCATTTGTGGGCACTGAAAGAGTGGCTCTTACAGAGGCAGAGAGTTGGCTGGTGGTTCCCAGAGGCTAGGCAGGGTGTGTGGGTGAGAGGCAGACAGAAAGTGAGGCTGGTTATGGGGCACAAACATGCAGTCAGGTGAAGGAGTAAGTTCCAGTGTTCCATAGTACAGTTCACAGACCAAAGGCAACAATCAGTTACTGTGTATTTCTGCCTCCTCCTCCCCGGGAAGCGGCTGGCCAGTGCATCAGGGAACACAGGTCTCTTTCCTCTGTCTTCCTCCATCAGGCTCCGGAAAGCTTTCCCCAGAGAAGACGCCAGACAGCAGGGGCTGCCTCCCGGGGCTTTTGTGACCCAGCCTGTTTCTCCATCCGAGCTGCAACCTCTGGGTGGGGGTGTCTGCACCTGGGGTGTGTGAGAGAGAGTGAGTGAGGGAGCGTGCCTGTGCCTGTGTGCGTGCATCTGTGTTCCTGCGGGCTGTGCCTCTCTGTGCACGTGTGTGCAGCCATGCGTGCGTGTTCACACGTGTGGAGTGTGTGCGTGCGTCCGTGCCTGGGTGTTGCGGGTGGTGAGGCTGGCAGAGCGTCCTGACCCCTCGGGCCCCAGGCCTTGTCCCTCTTCTCCGTGTCCCAATCTTCCTTCAACCGCCCGCCCCGCCCCTGCCTTTGGTGGCCTGGAGTCCCCACCGGCTCTGGGTACTAGGGCGCCGGGCAGCGCGGGAACTAACGGGCTGAGTCTGTGGGGTCGGGATGACTGAAAACATGCCCTGTCTTCGGTTTAGGCTCAGGCGGAAACCCCCCGGGGGCCTCTGGGGGCTGCGGTCGGTGCCAGGGGTCCCGGGCAGCTGCCTGAACGCGCACAGCGGCTCCTGCCCCGCAGCCTCCGCCCCGCGCCCGCGTCCTCGGGCCGGCAGCGCCCCCTGGTGCCGCCTCGGGTCTGTGCAGGGCCGGGCGGGCTGCGCGGAGCACCTGCAGGCGCCTCCATGGGTGACGGAAGACAGAGGGGCTGACCAGGTCTTCTACAGGTCAGTGGGCGATCAACAGCTGGACGCGTAGCAGGGGGCAGCCAGGTGGCCTAAGAGAATTCAGCAAGGCCGACTGCAGGCCGAGAGTCACCGGGAACTCACCTGGAAGGAGTGGATGTGGCCGCCCCAGGACCACCCTGTTCCAGGTGCCCGGCCCCGGCCGTGGAGCCCTTGGACGTATCTGTTTCTTTAGCTGCAGCGAGCGGGGTCCCGGTGCTGAGCAGAAGACCCTGTGCTGCGGTCCCTGTGCTCCCTGGCAGCTGTGCGAGGAACTCTGACCTTTGGGGCCCCTGGGCACCTACCCTGTTGGTTCCTGCTCTGGGCTGCCGAGGGCTGGGTGCTGTGCTGTGTAAAAGGCCGTATGGACGGGGCTTCTGTGTCCCCTGAGTCAGGCACTGCACCCTTATGCTCCCCTCAGGGGCCACACCACCTGCAGTGGTCCCTGGAGAGCAGAGGAAAGGTCCCCCTGGGCCAGATGGGGGCAACTGGTGGGCATCCTGCCCACCGACTGGTTGGGGGGCCTGGCTCTGCAGGAACGGAGGGGGGGCGGGCCAGGGGCTTTCCCTCCAGGTGTGGTAACAGATCAAAGAACATCTACCCCAAACCAGACCGGACTCAGCACACACCTTACCCAGGGCTCCAAAGACACCAGAATGGGGAGTAGAGAGGGAAAGAGACCAACAGAGACAGAGAGAGGGAGAGATTCAGAGCAAGGCGGGGTGGGGTGCGGAGGAGAGGAGGAGAGACCCCGGCCCTTCTCACCTCACAGACCGCTCGGGCTAACTTGGCCCCACCCCCACCATCCACCCTCCAACCCCACCCCCACCCGCCCCCAGGGCTGAGCAGAGACCTCTGGGACATGGTCACGCACACACAGAACCTGTCCCAGAAGGCAGGACCCCGTCCCTGCCCCAGCTTCTGGCTGGCAGGGCTGTGTCAATGACTTCTGGCCAAGCAACCCCAGGAAATGGCATTCCGTGGGGTCAGGTGGCTCCTCAGTGCCTTTTCCTGGCTTTTCATGTAAAATCATGGCAGGCAGCATCGGGAAGTGTCCCACACCTCTACAAGCTCAGGGGGTGGCCACCTTTACCCACAGAGCCAAAACGTGGGCGCAGGCTCCCCTCTGCAGTGGATGCGCTGAGGGCACACCCAGGCCCCGGCCCCCTCAGCGGCATCAGAGCAGCACACAGGGCCCGGTGAGGGTGGCCTCCACCCCTCCACCACACCAGGCATGGCTCGGAGCCAGGCCGGAGGGAGGGCGTCAGCTCTGCAATGCATCCAGTAGTTTCCACCCTTGGCTGTGAAGAGCGGCGTTTCCTGACAGAAGTTTCTAGCACATGTATGCTGGCGAGGATGCGGTCGTCTACTTGCTGGGCACACACTGTGCCAGGCTGAGTGGAGGCCCCCAAAGATGTGCAGCCCCGCAAACCTGTGAGTGCCGCCTCAGATGGCAACATGATGACAGGTCTGGAGCGGGGAGAGTCTCCCGGGTCACCCACCTGCACCCTGTGCTGGGCCAGGTAGTGCCCCCCACCCCACCAAGATTCACATCCCTTCTCCGGGGAAGACGTGCGCGATGTGACAGCCCGTGAGTCCGTCCATTCCGGGGACACTATGGGGGTCACTGCGGGGGGCGGGCAAACAGAGGTGCTTCAGCCCACACAAACAAGCTAATTGAGTTTTTCTGTTTGTTTGGTTTTGAGCGAAAACGTGAACATTTTGTCCAGCTGCTTTTTAGATTCAAGAGCAGGAGCAGCCAGCGCTGCTGAGGCAGTCACACGTATACAGCTTCACGGAGCAAGCACCCAGCCAGGGCCTTGCTGACTGTGGCTGCTAATAAAACAGCAGCAATTTAGTTTCATAAAATTGCTAATAGTTTTCTTAAAATGCCATTGCACTTAAGCATACACAGGGACACCCCCATCGTCTCTGCTCTCCAGTGGGAGGATATGAAGCTGGAGACTGGAGACTGGCCAGGGACAGAGGCAACTACTCCCTGAAATGATGTCACCCTGTGCAAGCACCTTCCCCAGGCCAGGCCAGGCCTCAACACCCCCCAGCACCTTCCCCAGGCCAGGCCAGGCCTCAACACCCCCAAGCACCTTCCCCAGGCCAGGCCAGGCCTCAACGCCCCCAAGCACCTTCCCCAGTCCAGGCCAGGCCTCAACGCCCCCAAGCACCTTCCCCAGGCCAGGCCAGGCCTCAACACCCTCCAAGCACCTTCCCCAGGCCAGGCCTCAACACCCCCAAGCACCTTCCCCAGGCCAGGCCTCAACACCCTCCAAGCACCTTCCCCAGGCCAGGCCTCAACACCCCCCAGCACCTTCCCCAGGCCAGGCCTCAACACCCTCCAAGCACCTTCCCCAGGCCAGGCCTCAACACCCCCAAGCACCTTCCCCAGGCCAGGCCTCAACACCCTCCAAGCACCTTCCCCAGGCCAGGCCTCAGCACCCCCATCTGAAAATGAGATGGGATTTCTGAGCCCCCTTTCAGTGCTGACAGCCCCCGGTTCTCCCGGAACAGGAATAAGTTGGCAAGCTTGTCAGAGAAACAAAGGAATAACGCAACGCATCCTATTTTCTGTATAGGGCAGGGCAGTGGCCACACCCCAAACACAACAGGAACTGCTGTTTTACTTGGGTCTGGGACCAAGCAAGAGCTTCTCCCAGAATCCAGGCTAAGCCCGCTCTCTCCCGGAGCAGGGGGTGAAATCCCTCAGAACTACTGTATGTTGGGGAGTTGGGGTAGGAGGCGCAGGGAGGCAAGCCCTGACTATGCAATTAAGGAAAACCTATAATTTTTATTATACAAGCATCGTACGTTTATTGCAGAAACTTTAGGAAACACAAACTTAACAAAAAGAAAAGAGGAAAAAATCCCTGTAATCCCAATCCCCAGAGAGACAACAATATTTCGTACATATCCTTCTGAACTTTCTTTCATGCCTAGGAACCTTCACACATTGATTTTTTATTGAAGGATCAAATCATTCCTAATGTTGGATAACCTCCTCATTAAACAGTTGTGAACAGGTTGTCTCATATATTGTGTCCACATTCCCATTTGACATATTATAATGGTATGTTTGAATATAGTGTCATATTTTAAAATACATTATAATAATCATTACCATTGTTTGAGTGCTTACTGTGTGTCCGGCACTGTACTGAGTACTGTGGACACATTATCTCATTTAAATCTCACAGCAGCATAAGTGCTATTATGATCATTTCCTTTTAAAGATAAGGAAACTGAAGCTGAAAGAGTGAAGGAATGTTCCCTGAATTACACATCTAGTCACTAGCAGAGTTTCAGTTTCCACCCAAGTCTGGCCACCTTCAAAGCATGTGCTCTTCAGGAAAGCATTTTCCATAGGAACCTTTTTCCACAGGAACCTTTTTCCACAGGAACCTTTTTCCTTAGGAAACTTTTTCCATAGGAAGCACCATCCCTTGGTAAAGATGTGCAGTAGTTTATTTAACCAGACCCTACTTCTGAAACGTTACTATTATCCACCACGCTGATCTGAACGTCCAGGGGCATATGTATCTGTGCACTTCTCTAATTATTTATTATTTAATTATTTAATAATTATAATTAAAGGAGGAGAGCAAAAGAGTTACCCCAAGATGGAGTGCCCCAGACTCTCTCCCAGGACTCCTCCCTGCCTGCCTGTCCATCAGTTTCACAAAAGTCGTAAAAGGATCAATGCACAGTGTGTTTACCTGTCTGGTGGCTGTCCTCACCGCCTGCGTTTCATGGAAGAGCGATTAAACCATTTCAGCTCCCTTTCCAGGAACCAACTCAAGAAACATGCCACCACCCCACCCTTAGATCTGGAGGGCCCGACCCCTCATATACCCTCTCTGTCCTTTCCCGGACCCCAGATGGAGTCTTCTGAGGTTCTCCATCCCACAGCCCTTCACCTCTATCCTGCCTCCACTTGCCCCAGCAACCTGATCAGCTTCCACAGAATCCCAGGAAATGCATCCAGCAGGCCCCACTTTCATGGGGTCCAAGCCCATCAGAGAGCAGCAGTTTGGGCCTGATGCCTGCCTGCTGCTCCTCTGTGTGGCTATGGCTGGAACAGAAGCTTCCAGAGCTGCTCAACAGTGCACTTCACAGAAGGTCAGAGCTGGACAGGACTTCAGTGCCCATTCCAACCCTCTCCAAATACAGGTGGAGAAACTGAGGCCCAGAGAGGGACAGGGACTTGCCCAAGGTCACTCGGGTTGTTACAGGCAGAGCCAAGACCGCAAACCATTTCTCCGGACTTCCATCCCCACCCCTTTCCATACACAACCCTCCATCTGCCTTTTCCTGATTTCGCCAAGAACCACTAGAAGATCACGAAGAGGCAACAGCAGGAGCAGGCTGTGAGTAGGCTCCAGATCCTTCCCTCCTCTCCACTCCTCAAGTGCGGAGACGTCCTGGAAACTCCGCATCCCAAATCCCCGAAGATCACCAGCAGGAGCCACTTACCTGCACTCATGTCTGTGGTCGGCCTCGTCCGAGCAGTGGTGGGCGTGGCTGTTGGGGGCTTCATCGTGGTCTTCGCTGAGGTTGTGGTCTTGGCTAAGATGCTGTTCGTCCTTCAGCTGCTGTTGGTTGTAGTCGGAGGGACAGAAGGAAGAGGGGCCCTGCTGGTGGGGAAGGGCCCCTTGGTTGCGATGTCCGTGGTCAGTGTCTCTGAAGGGGTGAAGTTCTTGAGGGCGGCTTCCAAGGGGCTGTAGGAGGAAGCAGAGCTCCCAGCAAAGGAAGTTGTTTTGCCCACTGCTGACCCAGCCTCTATGGAGACCGGAGCTGCTCCTGAGACTTTGACGTAACTTGGTGTCTCAACAGAGAGGGCTGAGGTTTCTTCCAGGGGATTCCCTGTGGCCAGAGCTCCACTGAGGGTCGTGGCCCCGGGTGCTGTCACTTCTCTTTCTATGGTGCTGTTGGTGGGGAGTGGGGTCCCAATCGTGGCATCAGGTGCAGCTGACTCTGTGGTGCCGGCTGTGGACAGGGTCTCGGCAGAGGCTGTGACCTCAGTGATGTGTGGTTTTGTGTTAGTGGAGTCAGGCAGAGCTGGTGGATCGGAGGTGGACGAGGCCTTCACCCCTTCCGTGGGGATGAGATCTGTGTCTGAGGCCCCAGGGATGCTGGAAGTCGTTGTTTCTATTTCTGTGATGCTGCAATTAATAACCTCGATGTTTGTGACAGTCACCAGGGCTTCAGCGAGGAGAGTGACGTCAGATCCCGGGGACCATGAGGGGGTGATGACTGGATGGGGGCCGTCGGAAGAGGCGCTGCTCTCTGAGGCCCGTGACGGGGTGATGACTGGATGGAGGCCGTCGGAAGAGGCGCTGCTCTCTGAGGCCCGTGACGGGGTGATGACTGGATGGAGGCCGTCGGAAGAGGCGCTGCTCTCTGAGGCCCGTGACGGGGTGATGACTGGATGGGGGCCGTCGGAAGAGGCGCTGCTCTCTGAGGCCCGTGACGGGGTGATGACTGGATGGGGGCCGTCGGAAGAGGCGCTGCTCTCTGAGGCCCGTGACGGGGTGATGACTGGATGGGGGCCGTCGGAAGAGGCGCTGCTCTCTGAGGCCCGTGACGGGGTGATGACTGGATGGGGGCCGTCGGAAGAGGCGCTGCTCTCTGAGGACAGGCCCTTAGCTTCTGTGGAGGTGTGAGCCAATGTCAATATGTCCATTGTGAGTGTCTTTGCCTCTTCAGAGATGTCATCGGTGCAAAGGGTGTCAAAGATGGCTTCCCTGGGATCACTGCCTGTGATGGTCTGAACTGTGGTCATTCCAGCTCCCTCGGGGCTGCCACTGGCGGCTGATGTCTCCACGGAGGTGGCGATCAGCACCATGAAGTTGGGAGATGTTTTTGTGAAACTCCTGGTCTCTCTTGCAGGGGAAATTCTCTTGGCTCCCCTGGTCTCTGCTTCTGGAATGGGGCCGGCTGGGGTTGAGGCCCTAGAAGAGGTCTCAGCGCTCAGCGTTTGAGTTTCCAGAGCGGCGTGGCCCGGTGCTAGAGTCATAGCGGGCACTTCTGTGTCGTCCGTTGTCATCGCAGTGTCTGCTCTGCGGGTGCTGGGGCCTGTGTTGGTTAAGACTGACTTGGTGAGCCTGGGTTCCAGTGGACTTCACACAAGCTATTGCGTTTACACCCTGGGCACTTCTGGGAGGAGGGTGGGGCAGGGGAGTGCCGTTACCTCATTTTTCATCTACATAAGCGAACAAGAAGGAGGCAGTCCTGGGAAGCCCAGGCCTGTGTGGCAGCCATGGAGCTGGGGTTGCCATGACTGGCGTCCTCTGAAACCCTGACAACTCACTTGGGGCCAGCAAGCCCCAGGATCTGCTGGCTATCGGCCTGCGTCTTTAAGAGGGGATGTGTGGGGCCAGCGTCCACCTTCCAGGGTGAGCCAAGAAGGCAGACCAGCGTCCAGGACTCGCAGAGCTTTCTGAACCTCTGTCGCCTTCCCCGGGTACTTTTCTCATCCAACACATAGTTCCCCATGGAAGTAAAAACCCTTAAAAGACGAGAAAGGCCTATGATTGTGCCTTTCGGGGTAGCTGGGTGGATTGAGGCGGGGGAACCTCCAGAGACAGGGTGGGCAGTGCTGCTGCCAAAGCGAGGGAGCCGGCAGAGTCCTTGGGGCTCCGGCAAGGGAAAGACGGCACCCCCCACCCTGCCGAGGCCCCTCCTGAATGAGGGCCGAGAACTGCAGGGTTGGAGCCTGGGAACCATGGAAACCGTGGCCAGGCATTTTCCACAGGACACCGGGAGCCCCTGAGGCAACACCTAGCTTTTCAGAGAGCGGCTGCCGGCACTTCTGCCCAGAGCAGAGGCCTGTTCCCTTGACTGGCCCTGAGGTGGGAGGAATGGGAGTCCCCGAGGGAGGCTACGGTAGGATATCTTCCCTAGAGACAGGGTCTTGCTCTGTTGCCCAGGCAGGTCTTGAATTCCTGGGCTCAAGCGATCCTCCTGCCTCAGCCTCTTGAGTAGTTTACTACAAGATCTTTTCTGGCCTGAGAAAGGGGGCCTCCCCTGTCTAGAGGGAGATCGGGCTCTCCCTGTGAGTGGGCCAAGGAGCCTCTTGGAGAGGGTTTCTAGATTTAGCAAATAAAAATACAGGGTACTCGGTTAAATTTGAACTTGCATTTCAGATAAACGACGAATAACTTTTTAGCATGAGTATTTCTCATGCAATATTGGCTACATACTTACACTTAAAAAAATTGTTACCTGAAATTCAAATGTAACTGGATGCCCTGTGTTTTATCTGGTAATCCCAGTCTTGGAAGGAAAAGGATCAAATACGAACCCCCTAATTCTCTGAGCCTTCTTGGTCCAGCCCACACAGCTGGAAGCCCAAAGGTGGCGCTCTTGGAGTCTGACCTCCCCTGGCACAGGGTTTGAGATGGTCTTTACCCAGCTCCACTGGCCCAAAAGTAGCCCATAGACCCAAAAGGGGCCTAGCACCTCTCCCCAGGGCATCAGGATGGGGCCCCAGGTCCCCAACTGGTTGTCCTGTGGACCTCAGGGAATGACGAGGCAGGAGTCAAGAGCCTCGGTTGCAGCTCCCGCTGTGCTGCCCACGACTGGCTCCGGGGTCAGATGATCTGCTGGTTCAAATCCTGACTCAGCCTCCTACTAGCCAGGCCAGTCTCTAGACCCCTCTCAGCCTCCATGTCCTCACCTGAGAAAACAGGGTCACAATACCTGCCTTGCCAACGTGGTGAGGACCAGCGGAGAAGATGAAAGGGCTTATATTCCAAAGCCCACAAGGTAAGCATCCCTCCACATGGAGTCCTCTCCCAGGCCCCTGGAAAGCACGCATAGTCGATTTGACTATAGTGAGGAGTGCGGGCTGCACCCCCAGGCAGTATAGGCGAGTCCCGGGCACCCAGTCTCATCCCTGGTCCGGTGCGGCCCAGCTGCACACACAAATCTCACTTTTGCAGGAACTGTTCATCTGCCTTCATAATACAGTTTCTTCTCCCCACTTCAAGCCTGAGATCATTTCTCTGAGCCTTCTTGGTCCAGCCCACACAGCTGGAAGCCCAGAGTGGTGCCCTTGGAGCCCGACTTCCCCTGGCACATTTTCTGGCTTATCCAGGAGCCCCGGGGTGTCCTTTCTGCTGTGAAACCTCCTCATGCTCCCCAAGCCCACAGCCTCTCGGGTCCAAGGGGGTCTTCTCGAATACAGCAAATCCCGGCCCAGCCCCTCAGTAGCTCTGGAACACTGCGGCTCTCCTGGTACAATCTTCAAATCTGGTGGAGAGGAAAGCGTGTGGACTTGGGACCCTGAGTTGGAGAATCTGCTCTCTGCCCTGTGACCCTGGCCAAGTCTCTCAGCTCCAAGCCTGCATTTCCGCACCTGTAAGGTGGAGCTAACGGGACACGTGCAGCGCAGACCAGGCCACGGTGAGCACAGGCAGGAGGCCACGGGGTGCAGTGCTCAGGCCTGTGAGGAGTCAGATCCTGGCTCCGAGGAGTTGTTACTGGATGCCCAGAAGCACAGTGGCCTCATCCTCAAAGCAGTGGAGGTGGGGGGTGGTAAGAACAGGGCCGATCTTGCAGGGCCGTTGTGAGGATTAAAAATACAATGTATGATAATGATGCGTCAAAGTAGGTTCCTCAGTCCTAACAAATGTGCCACTCTGGTGGGGGACGCTGATGATGGGGGAGGCTGTGAGTGGTGGGGATGGGAACTCCAGACTCTCCACTGCAGCTTTTTTTTTTTGAAACATAGTTTCACTCCTGTTGCCCAGGCCAGAGCGCCACGGTGCGATCTCAGCTCACTGCAAACTCCACCTCCCAGGTTCAAGCAATTCTCCTGCCTCAGCCTCCCGAGTAGCTGGGATTACAGGCACCTGCTACCACCCCGGCTAATTTTGTATTTTTAGTAGAGACGGGGTTTCTCCATGTTGGTCAGGCTGGTCTCGAACTCCCGACCTCAGGTGATCCACCCATCTCAGCCTCCCAAAATGCTGGGATTACAGGTGTGAGCCACCACACTCGGCCTCTCCACTCGAGGTTTAGAGCGAGCATAGAACTGCTCTAAAAAAAAAAAATAATAAATCCTTTTCTATTTTTTAATGTATGTGATGAGTTTGGCACAACTCCTATTAGCGACAGGTCAGGGTTCATTCCCGTCTTTCACAAAAGCCCTGCCTGTCAGCATCCACCCTTCCCAAGCAGTTTGTGGCAGTTGGACTTTTCACACGAAATCTGTATTTTGAAGGAAATCCATGCTAGGTAATAAACTGGGAGGAGTCAGAATCTTGTTAAGCCACATTCTTCAGCTTTCTGCACAATGATCACCAGCTGGCACCTCCCTGCACCCCCGCTCCGTGCCCCACTTACTGTCCCACGTTCATAAAGACAAACTCTCAGCCACCCCTTATGATGGCAGCGTCATGGTTGATTAGTGTGTACTGCAGCGCCAGGCACGCTTACACTCACACTCATGGTCATGGTTGATTAGTGTGTACTGCAGCGCCATGCACGCTTACACTCACTCACACCGTCATTTGCACACTCTTTATCAACAATAATAGCACTTCACAGGTAGCACTGTGGTTCATTATAATCAACCCGAGAGAGCCTGCCCTTGCCCATGAAGGGTGTCTCATACTGAAATTCACTCCCAGAGCCCTACTAGGGGAGAGGCCCACCAGGCCCTTCTAGGCCTCCTTACCTGCAGAGCTCCTAGAGACCCCACCCTCCCAGCAGAAGAAGAAAAGGGGCAGAGTCAGACCCCAGAGAGCCCATCCTAGCCGGCCACCGCTGCTCCACAGAACTGCTGGCTGTCTCTCGCGGGTACCTTTTCCTGCTACCTCAAACCGGGGAGGAGGGGCAGCCTCCTGCCCAGGTGTGTGACTGAGTAGTTTCCAGGATGTGGCCAAGTGATCACAAATGTGCAGGCTGAGGCTGTCAGCAAGATGACCCCCCTGCCTTCCTTGCCCAGTAAACACTCCACTGAAATTTAATTTGAAGATGTGGAATCAGTAGCTTTTTTTTTTGACATGGAGTCTCTCTCTGTTGCCCAGGCTGGAGTGTACAGTAGTGAGATCTCGGCTCATTGAAACCTCTTCCTCCTGGGATCAAGCAATTCTCCTGCCTCAGCCTCCCGAGTAGCTGGGATTACAGGCGTGTGCCACCATGCCGGGCTAATTTTTGTATTTTTTGTAGAGACGGGGTGTCACCATGTTGGCCAGGCTTGTCTCGAACTCCTGACCTCAGGTGATCTGCCTGCCTCGGCCTCCCAAAGTGCTGGGATTACAGGCGTGAGCCACCATGCCCAGCCAAATCACTTCCTCATCGACCCCTCAGTCTTGTGCTGGGAAGGCCACAGGAGGTCACGTTTCACCATCACCCCCTCCCGTGCCTGGAGCTTGGGCTTTGAGTCAGACCTGGGTTTCATTCCTGGTCCTGGGCATGATTAGCTCTATCACCAAGGGCAAATTTCAGAGCCAGGCTGAACCTTCACTTCCTGCTCTGTAAATGGATAAACCTACCTCGCTGGGCTGTTGTCGTGAGGATCACATGCGACAGTAAAGCTCTTACACAGTGCCTGCTACACAGCTGATGCTTATCAAAAATATATACATCTTAGGTGCTCAGTAAATGAGCGAGAACCCCGACATCCATTCTGATCCTCAAGCGTTGGGGAGAAGAGACGGCTCCCCAGTATGGGACAACTCTAATTGCTAACATCCTTCCATCTTCATCATCCTGTGATTCTGCATCCCAGTCAAAGCCAGGAACATTGGCCAGACCGAAGGCACG
This sequence comes from Homo sapiens, assembly GCF_000001405.40. NCBI lineage: Eukaryota > Metazoa > Chordata > Mammalia > Primates > Hominidae > Homo > Homo sapiens. The sequence goes on along the minus strand of NC_000003.12, from coordinate 195,613,929 downwards.
GGGCTGGAGAAGAGACTAGCTGGGAAGAGGGAAAAGATGAGTGCACTCATCTGGTCTCAAGGCCTAGGAAGAGAGGACGCGTGAGGGTGATGACTCAGCCAAGCTAGAGATTCAGCCATGAGAAGGGACATGCAGTTACCAAATATATTTCCAAACTCCCTAGAGAAGAATCTTACTCCCTCCATGTGCCACGGACGTGAACTGTTATGGCCACTGGCCAGTGACCAGACAAGGTAGCTTGGGAATTTCAGGGCAGGAGCGCTGATGAAGGCAGCTCTTGGGTAGAAGAAAGCCTGCTGGATCCGCATCAGGGAATCACAACATCTCAGAGCTGGAAAGAACTTTAAATCCAGGCCGGGTGCAGTGGCTCACGCCTGTAACCCCAGCACTTCGGGAGGCCAAAGTGGGTGGATCACTTGAGGCCAGGAGTTCGACACCAGCCTGACCAACATGGCGAAACCCCATCTCTACTAAAAATACAAAAACTAGCCAGGTGTGGTGGCTCATGCCTGTAATCCCAGCACTTCGGGAGGCCAAAGTGGGGGATCACTTGAGGCCAGGAGTTCGACACCAGCCTGACCAACATGGCAAAACCCCATATCTACTAAAAATACAAAAACTAGCCAGGTGTGGTGGTGCACGCCTGTAATCCCAGCTACTCGGGAGGCTGAGGTGGGAGAATTGCTTGAACCTGGGAGGTGAAGGTTGCGGTTAGCTAAGATTGCTCCACTGTACTCCAGCCTGGGCAACAGAGCAAGACTCTGTCTGAAAAAAGAAAAGGAAAAGAAAATCAGAAGGTCCAGGTTCCATTTCCAGCTCTCTCCTTAACACTGACCCAGGAGCTGTGTGAACGTACAAGTTATCTGCCCTCTCTGGGCCTCCATCAACATGATCTACAAGGTCCTTTTGGCCCTGTGGTCTGGGGTTCTGCATTGGGTGTGTGACATTGTCTTCCAGAAATTTACTCTTAACACTGACCAAGAAGCTGTGTGAACATACAAGTTATCTGCCCTCTCTGGGCCTCCGTCAACATGATCTACAGGGTCCTTTTGGCCCCATGGTCTGGGGTTCTGCGTTGGGCGTGACATTGTCTTCCAGAAATTTACTCTGCTCTGGGCTGTGCTGCTGGGAAGAAGGAGGGAATGGGAGGGAATAGGAGGAGGAAGACTCCCCAGAAGAGGCTGAGGGGGGTCCATAGGGGACAAAACCCAGCACTTGGGGTGGGGATCTTGGACACCATTGATCTGTAGGCTGAGCCCCTTCCATCCTCCACTCAGCCCCAGCTCTTTGCTTATCAAATGAGACAAGGACTCCCCCCAGGAGGAGTCAGGTAGGGAGAGGAGGGCAGGGCCACAGCAAGGACTGTATTCTCTTAGACCCCATCTAGTAGCTGCGACCCACTGTGAGGCTTAGCCCAAGGGAAGATGGAGAAGAGACTAAGCACCAATGCAGCTCCTCTCAGCCACCCCAGCCCTCCTCCAGCCCCGCCCCCGCAGGGATAGGGGCTTCCTCATTCCAGCAGCAAGTGAGTCCACCCCAGCCTGTTGCAGATGAGGAAGTGAGGAATCCCTGGAAAGGAAGCCTGGCTGAGAGCTTCCCTGGGTTTGCTGAATTTTGGACCATTTTCCTCGGTATTTGGGAAATTTACAAGCCTGGGCAGATGACTGTTAGCCCTGGGGGCCATAAGAGTCTTATGCAGAAAGTTCCTGGGCCATATTTTAGCCAAACTCAGCTCTCACCTTGAATGAGCGTAGGAGGCTAGTTCATTAATTTAATGCACGTACGGAATTCCTTCTACATGCCAGACATTGCTCCAGGCACTTGGAATACATCACTCAGTAAAAGAGATCCCGGCCTTCACGGAACAACTCTCCTAGTGAAGAGAGACAGCAAACTGTGAACCCCGAATATCTCAGACAGGTCTCAGTTCATTTAGAGAGTTTATTTTGCGAAGTTTGAGGACTCGCGTCCATGACACAGCCTCAGAAGGTCCTGGTGACATGTGCCGAGGTGGTCAGAGCATAGTTTGGTTTTACACGTTTGAGGGAGACATGAGACATCAATCAACATATGTAAGACGAACATTGGTTCAGTCTGGTAAGGTGGGACAACTCAAGCAGGGAGGGGGCTTCCAGGTCACAGGTGGGTGAGAGACAAATGGTTGCATTCTTTTGAGTTTCTGATAAGCCTCTCCAAAGGAGGCAATTAGATATGCATCTATCTCAGTAAGCAGAGGGGTGACTTTGAATAGAACGGGAGACAGGTTTGCCCTAAGCCGTTCCCAGCTTGACTTTTCTCTTTAGCTTCATGATTTTGGGGGGCCCAAGACAGTTTCCTTTCACATTTCCCCCTTTTCTTTTTAAAAATCTTTTGGAGAAAGCATTTTAGAAGAAAATGAGTCTCTGGTCTGAGGTTTCATCGGGTCTCTCATGGCTAGGATGGTTTATTCCTAGATAGGTAGGTCCCAATAGCTACCCTAGATAGGTAGCTCATTATTAGCAGGTTGAGAATCCTCATGTCCTGTGAAGAGAAAATAGGGGGAGGAAGGGAGAAAAACAACAAACAAAATAACGATCCTAGAAAATCGATATAGGCCACATTACTCTGAAGTCCATACGTCAGTAGGCAGGTATGAAAGTAGCTTATATATGTAAATAGGCTGCTGTTATTTTCTTCTGAAGTTTAAGTTGTCTAGCTTCAGTTCACAGGGCTTCAAAAAGCACAGCTTAGCTTTCAGTAACTCCAAATTAGGAAAAATGGGAAAAAAGAAAGGGAAAAAATGGAAAACATTATTTTGAAGACTTGTAGCCAAGAAAAATTAGAATTTGGTCCAAACTGCAGAAAATAATAAAAATGGAAAAACATTAGGCAAGACTAGAATCTAACAACAGGTGTACTATAGTTCTTAAAACATAGTTTTTCTCTCTCCAGTTTCTCATTTTTACTAAAGACAAATCATGGTAGGACTGATTTCCTTTATTATTCTTGGCCTGATTATTTGTATACAGTGCAGCTAGAATAATTATTTTTTTACACAGGCTTTTAAATTGGCTTTGATGAAACTTTGTTCCATAGAAGGAATCTCAGAAAAGACTTGTTTAAAGCTGAGCCCTGCCATGGATTTGTACCATCAAATACCTATGAGTTGCATGAATTCCTCTCCTTTTGAGGGTCCAAGGTAAAACTTGGGGCTCCTGGGCCTGTCGGAAAGTGACATTCTTTACTTACCACAGGGCAGGAACCCTGTTCAGCGACTGTGTAGACAGAGCATGTGGCTTTTACTGGCTCCATAAAACAAGTTTAATTCCTTAAAGGAAAGCACATCATTCTAGTCAAAGTGCTGGTAAAATAACCAGTTTCTCCAATTGTGTCCTGTTACAAATAAAGACAGATTATTATTGCACTTATGCAAATAACTATATTGTGATAAGGATACTCACAAACAGTTGCCAAATTCTGGAGAAATCAGGTAGAGAGAAATGAATATGCTCCAAATTTTGTTCATAGGAGTACAATAACTTGTTAAAAGCTGTCAATAGCTCAAAAGAAAAGTTTCCTTGACTCTGAAAAAACAAAACAAAAGATCAACAACGTTTTAAGCAAAAAGTCAAAAAGATTACTTCAGTCCATGCAGTTAATTCCTGTTCTGCTTGATATTCATGAACATTTCAGCTCTCCATGAGTCCCGAAAGTTTTTCCTCTATTCTAATGTCACAATCTCCAAAGTTAGCAGAAACCTGCATTCAAGAGCACCTTTTAGAGTTTTATAGCTGATTATAAAACCACCTTCTTTTTTTTTTTTTTGAGACAGAGTCTCACTCTGTTGCACAGGCTGGAGTGCAGTGGTATGATCTCAGTGCACTGCAACCTCTGCCACCTGGGTTCAAATGATTCTCCTGCCTCAGCCTACCAAGTAGCTGGGATTACAGGTATGTGCCACCATACCACACCATTATGTATATTGCTTGTGTACAATGCCCACTGTCTGGCTGATGGGATCACTCATACCACAAACCTCAGCATCACGCAATATACCCATATAGCAAGCCTGCACATATACCACCTGAATCTAAAATAAAAGTTAAAGATATTTTTTAAAAAATTATATAAATAAATAAATAAAATTGCTAAAAGAGTGGTAGATGCCTGTAATCCCAGCTACTCAGGAGGCTGAGGCAAGAGAATCACTTGAACCCAGCAAGTAGTGGTGAGCCAAGATCACGCCATTGCGCTCCAGCCTGGGCAACAGAGTAAGACGCCACCTCAAAAAAAAAGAAAAAAGAAAAGAAAAAGAAAAGAGTAGATGTTAAATGTTCTCACAACAACAAAAAATGATAAGTACGTAAGATTCTTAACCACAGTTGATGTACCTCACAGGAAGAGCTTCTCTTTCAAGATGTGTAACTGCCCCATGGGTTCTTCCTGCCCACTGCACAAAAAAAATCAGTTCATGGAGACCATGGCATTGCGGTAAAGAAAGAGGTTAATTGATATGATGCCAGCCACATCATGTGGGAGGCAGAGTTATTACTCAAATCAAACTCATCTAAGTCTTGGAGGTTAGGGATTTTTCAAAGGTAATTTGGTAGGTAGTGGGCTAGGGTATGGGGAGTGCTGATTGGGTCAGAGATGAAATCATAGGGCGTCAAAGCTGTCCTCTTTCTCTGAGTTGCTTCTGGGTGGGGAAACAGAAGCCACTAGCTGGTCCCGGTGGAGCCATCGGTCATCAGACATGCAAAAAATCCTGAGAAGATATCTCAGAAGGCCAATCCTAGGTTCTACAAAAGTAACATTATCTGCAGGGGTAACTGAGGAAGTTGCATATCTTGTGGCTTCTGGAATAATGCCTCACAGTTGTTTATGTCTACACCTTAGCAGAATTTAGGTTCATCTCCTCCTCCTAGCCTGGTGGTCTCTCAGTGTTACAAGGCTGGTTGAGTTTGAGGGAAGGGTTACTATCATTTAAACTATAAACTAAATGACTCCCACATGTAGCTTGGCTTAAACCCAGGAATAATTAAAAGCAGCTTGAAGGCTAAAGGCAAGAGGGAGGTTGGCCAGGTCAGATCTCTTTCACTGCCATTTTTTTCTCACTGTGATAATTTTTGCAAAGGCAGTTTCAGATGTGATTGGATTTTTGGATACTGTGAATGCTGAATATCTGAGACTGGTCTCAGTTAATTTAGAAAGTTTATTTTGCCAAGGTTGAGGCTGCATGCCTGTGGCACAGCCTCAGGAGGTCCTGACGACATGTGCCCAAGGTGGTCAGGGCACAGCTTGGTTTTATACATTTTAGGGAGACATGAGACATCAATCAATATATGTAAGATGAACATTGGTTCCATCCAGAAAAGCAGGACAACTCAAGCAAAGAGGGAGCTTCCAGGTCACAGGTAGGTGAGAGTCAAATGGTTGCATTCTTTTGAGTTTCTGATTAGCCTTTCCAAAGGAGGCAATTAGATACGCATTTATCTCAGTGAATGGAGGGATGACTGCATAGAATGGGAGGCAGGTTTGCCCTAAGCCACTCCCAGCTTGACTTTTCCGTTTAGCTTAGTGATTTTGGGGGCCCCAAGATTTCTTTTCCTTTCACATTTCCCCCTAGGAATCTAATATCTTACAGGATTAACTAGGTCAGTAAAAGACATAGTTTATAATTTGACTTTGGAAAGTTTGTCAAATATCAAAGGTTTAAAACACTTGATATCACAAAATAGGATCACAGGTTATTGTAAATAAATCATTCATTTAACCAGAGTGATAACTCAAGAACTTCAAAAAAAGGTGAAAACCTTCATTCTTTGAGAGGAGACTTAATTTTCCAAACAATAAGCCCTAATAAAAACAGCATGAAGCCAATCAAATTTGACTTCCAAAATTTCATGAACAATCTATAAAGTTTTAATCTTGACCATAAGCTGTAACTTCCATAGGCCTTTTATAACCTTTATAGCCTTTATTTGGGAGTCAGTTAATGCTTCAAGAAAATGTTAATCTGACACAGGCACCCATATGCTGGTCTTGCCTTAGTGTGCCTTTGACATTAATGGTTAATTTATAGAGAAACTGAGCTTATTTTATCACTCGACATTGGCCCTTACAATCTCACACACACCTCTTCTCTGATAGTCCCTGGCCTTTGAGGAATTGAACAGCTTTAATTTCTGGCCCTGTGTTTGCAAAATAAAATGCAAATAAATGCAGTTTATTTTGATTGGCTTCTTTTACTGAGCCTGAAGATGAGGCTTTAATTACTGCCAGTATTTAAGAGTTAGCAGGACTTCATGTCCTTTTCAGACCCAGGACTCAAAGCCCTGTACTCTATATCACAAGGACTTTAAAAGCACATATAAAAAGATACATGGATGTAATAACCTTAATTTAAAAAAAAAGTTTTAATCTCAGTTATTTTCTAAGCAAACCAAAACTTAACAATAATGGCATAGGGATTATTTTGATAAAAGACAAAATCTGTTAAGCCAGTTACCAAAAGACAAAAGAAGAGACCTTCTGCAGTGCACAGAATATTATGTTGGAAGAAAACATTTCCTTTAGACTTTTAAGAAAACATTGTTAGCATCAGGCCACAACAGAAAGAAGTTGAGGGAAAAAAAACTTATATGAGCCGAAAATGAGTTGAAGGAGAGCGTTACTATTTCATGCCTTTTCAAAGGGGAGTGAAAACTGAAAACGGCAAGATGCAATAAAAGTTGAACTTTGGTTTTAAAAAAATTAAAATCTCCTATAATTTACTAAGAGTAAATCAATCCCTTAAGAAAATTTTATTGCTCTAATCAACTATTTAGTGTGTAAGTGTATTTTTTACATCAAAGCCAATCTCTATAACATTGTAATTTCTCTGTAGTTATAGACAACTCGATCATATAAAAGTTTTGTTGGCCAGGCACAGTGGCTCATGCCTGTAATCCCAGCACTTTGGGAGGCCAAGGTGGGCGGATCACGAGGTTAGGAGATTGAGACCATCCTGGCTCACACGGTGAAACCCCGTCTCTACAGAAAATACAAAAAATTAGCCGGGCATGGTGGTGGGCACCTATAGTCCAAGCTACTCAGGAGGCTGAGGCAGGAGAATGGCGTGAACCCGGGAGGCAGAGCTTGCAGTGAGCCAAGATCGCGCCACTGCACTCCAGCCTGGGCGACAGAGCGAGACTCTGTCTCAAAAAAAGTTTTGGTTTGTTTTAAATAAATCCTCTTACTGTGACTTACACAGACCATTAATGACATGCTTGGACTTTCTGTTTTTTCCTGAACATCCTTCTTTCTGAAACAACCAGTCATTTTATTCTAGGACTAAATTTACCATACAAGATTCTTTCTCATATAAAATTATTTCTCTTTAAGCTTTCTTACAAAAAAAATACCTCCTTATTTCTATAACTTTCTTTACATCTCTCTTATTTCCCAGTTCCTTTTATCTTGTTTTATACATAATCTTTAAATGAACTTTGAATTAGACAAAAATTGTTCACCTTTTTACAAAGGCCATTTTTTTTAGAAAGAATGTTTTCCTACAATTTTTTTTTTTGGAAAAACCCAAATAATGAAATATCTATTATTTAATTTAACTTTAGATTCTAAATTATCACAAGTTTGTCTATAGGTATTTATCCCATGACATTTACCTAATTATTTTATTTTAATCATTTACCTAGATTATTTATGAAAACTGTGATAGTCATCATTTAAAGTTACAAAACTCGTCATTGCAAGATTCTAACTAAGACAACAAAAAAGATTTGCTCTAACTGACTCCATCGTGCTTCTAACCTCCAAGCTGTCCTTGTTCATTCCGGGACTTTTGGAGGAACTTAGTTTATAGTTTACTTTGAAACAAAGTTGATAACTGTCCTTTCCCAAAGCAAATTTCCTTACTGCCTGTGGACAAGACTGCCTAAAGCCATGAGATTAGAAGTTACCATAATTTTACTAAATAATTCAAGAAGTAGCTATCTTCATTAAACCAATATCAATGTCTTACTTATTTAAAAGTGACACAAGCAAAGATCATTCTGTTTTGAGCTGGGTTTATAGTTTTGTAACCCCCTATGCCAAATTTTGACACCTTATAGCATTTGGCAGGGATAAGTTTGAAATTGCTTGATCAATAAATGCAAACAAAACTGTATGCTGGCAATTCTTAAGACATTTTTAATATTACTTTACCAATACTTTTAAAGCTAGCTTATTTATTAAAGATTTTACTTAAGTCACAGAAACTAGAAAAAGCATTTAACTAGTCTTTCCTTTTTTTTGATAAAATACTTGGTTTAAGTGCTTTTATTTTTCTTTAAGCCAATTGATTAGAGCTCTTTTATATATTTTTAGTAGTGAAACATTGTGTACACAACACATAAATACATAGATTTATTAAGCATACCAATAGAAGCACATATTATAGATCCCTAAAACCTACCTTTTTTCCTATCATAGACTTGCAAACTCTTGATAACCTATTTCAGCTAATTAGCCCTAAATTTGCAATTGAAGGAAACAACTCTTGGGTGAAAAATCAGATAGCAAAATTTACTTCTCAAAGTAGAGAGAGAGAAAGCCTGGTATTGCTGGAGGGATATTCAAGATGGATGCCAAATCAAACATAAAATTATGCAAATCTATCATAGAATTGTATGAGGAGACCAATTTTATTTAGATAGGGACTACTTATCTTTTAACTGGATCTCTGAGCCCTGGGCAGAGCACACACTGAACCCTGGGTTTCCAAAAAGGCAGAATTATTATGAGGCTAGACCACATGACACTTTTACAGTGCACTTAAAAAAATTTTTTTTGGCCAGGACTGGTGGCCCATGCCTGTAATCCCAACACTTTGGGAGGCTGAGGAGGGTAGATCACCTGAGGTCAGAAGTTCAAGACCAGCCTGGTCAACATGGTGAAACCACATCTCTACTAAATATACAAAAATTAGCTGGGTGTGGTGGTGGGCACCTGTAATCCCAGCTACTTGGGAGGCTGAGGCCGGAGAATTGCTTGAATCCAGGAGGCAGAGGTTGCAGTGAGCCGAGATCGTGCCATTGTGCTCCAGCCTGGGTAACAAGTGCAAAACTTCATCTCTTTTTCTAAACACATTTCATAGTGTCTAAACTACACTCTTCCTTAAAAACCCGAGAGCAGCCTATGTTGCAGTAACTATTTTTGTCAATAAATCAGGTAACAGTACAAAGGCAAGCAGTTTAAGAGCTGAGATGAACTTGTCTGTTTACACTCTTGTGGTTCCATAAGGAAAAACAAGTTTGTGCCCCAAAGGGAGTCTTGTGCTTTCTCCATTTTCTTTAAGGAACCCCAGGCTATTATAAACTATTTTAGGTCCGTCATGCAGTAGCGTGTGCAAGAGAAAGGAGAGACAGGAGAAGTAAATGAAGAAAACAGAATTCAGTCAACTGAGAAGAAAAACATTTTTGCTCAAAAAAAGAGACAAGGTCCTAGGAGAAAGAAAAAACAACAACAACATGAAGGCCTTTTAAATAAACACACACACACACACAAACACACATACATCTTGGATGCTGGCTTTTAATTAAGCTGACTTTTAACCATTGAGCTCCTTTTAAAACATCTTTTAAAATCTATTACCATATTTCAGCTAGAAAAAAAAAATGCTGTTCTTTCAGAAGTGACAAGTACCAAAGCAGAAAGGGCTTGATTTAGGAACCAAACCCAGGCTGTTGTGATAGAGAAAAAGAAGGTAGAACCTTTTGCTATGGAACTGCAGTGCAGGGCAACAGCCATTGCTCTTTCAGCTTGGCCTGGCTAGCAAAAAGGGGCTTCATTATGTAAATAAAGCCCCTTGAGTAGTCAAAAATCTTTCCTGTTTTTATTTTTGGTTTTTGTTTTTTTCCTTTTTCTGGCTATTTTTCTCCCCACGTCGCACCACCTTTTTTCTTTTTTTTTTTGAGATGGAGTCTCGCTCTGTCACCCAGGCTGGAGTGCAGTGGCGTGATCTCGGCTCACTGTAAGCTCAGCCTCCCAGGTTCATGCCATTCTCCCGCCTCAGCCTCCTGAGTAGCTAGGACTACAGGTGCCTGCCACCACGCCTGGCTAATTTTTTTTCGTATTTTTAGTAGAGATGGGGTTTCACCATGTTAGCCAGGATGGTCTCCATCTCCTGACCTCGTGATCTGCCCACCTTAGCCTCCCAAAGTGCTGGGATTACAGGCATGAACCACTGTGCCTGGCCTTTCTTTTTTTTTTTTTTTCTTGTGGGAATTTAGCCACTTCAGAGGCCTTGTTCCCCATAATTTGGAACTTTCCTTCAGATTTGACCAAGTCAGATAGAGTTGATCAAACCCAATGGGGAAAAGACCAAAACAACAACAAAAACAGAAACAAACAAAACAACAACAGAAAAACCAGTTAAGCAAAACAAATGATGGCACAACTTATATGATCACTGAGTGCTCTAATGGTAAGGAGAAATTAAGACCAGCTGGTTGTTAATCTTAACTTTAGCCAAGACAAACCCCAATTCAGTTACTTACCTAGGGATGGGACTCAGGCTGAAGACTGCTCTCCATCCTAGAAGCAGGAGAAATCTGAAATTTGTTTTCCCTGTTGGAAGCGAGTTCAAACTCCATAAAGGAGTTACCTGCCTTCCATCTTCATAGAAGCAGGAAAAACTTACCTTCCTTGTGTTGGAAGCAAGTAAAACTCCAAAAAAAAAAAAAAAAAAAGGACTTGTACAGCAAAATAAACTTTAGATCATGACTGAATTTTGGGAAATCAGGAATTCTCTGGAGAGGGTCCTTCCAGGCCTCAGCAAATTGTCCTGTTGATTTGAGCCATAAAGATAGCTCAAGCTGGTACCAAGCACCAGTTGGAGATTTGGCAAAGGTCAGAAGCACCTCCACTCAGAATCCCTCTGTGGTTACCAAAATGTGAACTCCAAATATCTGAGACAGGTCTCAGTTAATTTAGAAAGTTTATTTTGCAAAGGTTGAGGCCACAGGCCACACACTCGTAACACAGCCTCAGGAGGTCCTGACAACACATGCCCAAGGTGGTCAGGGCATAGCTTGGTTTTATGCATTCGAGAGAGACATGAGACATCAGTCAATATATGTAAGATGCACATCAGTTCCATTCAGAAAGGTGGGACAACTCAAGTGGGGAGGGGGCTTCCAGGTCACAGGTGGGTGAGAGACAAATGGTTACATTCTGTTGAGTTTCTGATGAGCCTCTCCAAAGGAGGCAATCAGATATGCATTTATCTCAGTGAGCAGAGGGGTGACTTTGAATAGAACGGGAGGCAGGTTTGCCTTAAGCCGTTCCCAGCTTGACTTTTCCCTTTAGCTTCATGATTCTGGGGCCCCAAGATTTATTTTCCTTTCACAATACAGATAAGGGTCTTTCCTTTTCTTCCACACTCTTTTAAGAAGCACTAAATTCAAGGCCAAACCAAAAAGGTACAATCTCACAAAACTAACATTTCTTTTCCTTAATTATTTTCCCTCCTTATTAGTAGTCTTTTTTACACCTCTGCCAATAATTAGGGCTGGAGGAAACTTATAAAATTTAGTTCACCAAAGTCTAGAATGATCTCAATCTTCCATAACCACTATGATAATTAATTTTATGTGTGAACTTGTATCAGAGGTGTTTAAACCAGAGCGACTCCATCTAGAATAAGCGCTGAGTAAAACAAGGCTGAGACCTACTGGGCTGCATTCCCAGGAGGTTAAGCATTCTAAGTCACATCATGAGATAGGAGGTCAGCACAGATACAGGTCACAAAGACCTTGCTGATAAAACAGATTGTGGTAAAGAAGCCGACAAAACCAAGATGGCTACAAATATGACCTCTGGTCATCCTCACTGCTCATTGTATGCTAATTACAATGCATTAGCATGCTAAAAGACACTCCCACAGGCACCATGACAGTTTACAAATGCCATGGCAATGTCAGGAAGTTACCCTATATGGTCTAAAAAGGAGAGAAACCCTCAGTTCTGGGAATTGCCCACCCCTTTCCCAGAAAACTCGTGAATAATCCACCCCTTGTTTAGCATATAATCAAGAAATAATCATAAAAATAGCCAACCAGCAGGCCTTGGGGCCACTCTGTCTATGGGATAGCCATTCTTTATGCCTTTACTTTCTTAGTAAGGTTGCTTTTACTTTACTCTATGGATTCACCTTGAATTCTTTCTTGCATGAGATCCAAGAGCCCTTTCTTGGGGTCTGGATCGGGACCCCTTTCCAGTAACACTTGGGCTAGGAAATGCCCAGATTGCTGCTAAGAATTTATTTCTGGGCGTGTCTGTGAGGGTGTTTCTGGAAAAGATTTGCATTTGAATCATTTGATTGAGTAAAGAAAATCACCCTTACCAATGTAGACAGGCATCACCCAATCCATGGAGGGCCCAAAGGAGCAAAAGGGTGGAGGAAGGATGAATTCTGCCTCTCCTCTTGAGCTGGGATGCCCATCTTCCCCTGCCCTTCAACATCAGAGCTCCTGGTTCTTGGGCCTTTAGGCCTGGAATGAATTACAGCACTGGTTTTCCTGGTTCTCCATCGTGTCCTTTTGAGTTTTGGTCACAGCATCACCAGAAGATGAGGACATTCACCTCTGATCTCCTCCTTTCTAGTTTTTTTTTTTGTTTTGTTTTGTTTTGTTTTTTTTGATACAGAGTCTCACTCTGTTACCCAGGCTGGAGTGCAGTGGTGGGATCTCAGCTTGCTGCAACTTCCGCCTCCTGGGTTCAAGTGATTCTCCTGCCTCGGCCTCCCAAGTAGCTGGGATTACAGGCATGGACCACTACACCCAGCTAATTTTGCATTTTTAGTAGAGACAGGGTTTCACCATGTTGGCCAGGCTGGTCTCAAACTCCTGACCTCAGGTGATCCACCCGCCTCGGCCTCCCAAAGTGTTGGAATTACAGGCGTGAGCCACCGTGCTCAGGCTGATCTCCTCCTTTCTATGCACCTGTATTAGTAACTGGTGGTTCTGCCTGAGGGACAGATGGATCCAAGGGTTCCGTGATAGATCCATGGTTCCTCTGTTTTGCTTTATTCTCAAAAAGGCTCTTACCTGAAATGTGGTCCCTGGAAGTTCTGGGTGGACAAGGTCCTTCATGGTAGTGACTGAAGGAAGAAAAAGAGAGTATTCCCTGAAAGATTCAGCAAACATCTGAGGGAAGATTGACCACTCTGGATGCAGGGTCCTGCCTGAGGGATTGCTCTAAGGGTCCAGGCTGGGTAATGCACCTGCCCCCTGCAGTGGTGGTAGAGGATAAAGCCAGCCAGTCTCATCCAACCATATGGACTGGGCAGATTACTATAAAATAGAGAATGTAAATCTTCCCAAAGGAAGGGAATGTGGAATCAACAAGAGGCAAGGTCGCTCCCTCTCTCTCTCCCTCTTCCTCTCCCTCTCCCTCTTCCTCTCCCTCTCCCCAAGGTCTCCCTCTCCCTCTCCCTCTCCCTCTCCCTCTCTTTCCACGGTCTCCCTCTAATGCCAAGCCGAAGCTGGACTGTACTGCTGCCATCTCGGCTCACTGCAACCTCCCTGCCTGATTCTCCCGCCTCAGCTTGCCGAGTGACTGCGATTGCAGGCGCGCGCCGCCACGCCTGAGTGGTTTTCGTATTTTTTTGGTGGAGACGGGGTTTCGCTGTGTTAGCCGGGCTGGACTCCAGCTCCTAACCACGAGTGATCTGCCAGCCTCGGCCTCCCGAGGTGCCGGGATTGCAGATGGAGTCTCGCTCAGTCAGTGCTCAATGTTGCCCAGGCTGAAGTGCAGTGGCGTGATCTCGGCTCGCTACAACCTCCACCTCCCAGCCGCCTGCCTTGGCCTCCTAAAGTGCCGAGACTGCAGCCTCTGCCCGGCCGCCACCCCGTCTGGGAAGTGAGGAGCGTCTCTGCCTGGATGCCCATTGTCTGGGATGTGAGGAGCCCCTCTGCCCGGCTGCCCAGTCTGGGAAGTGAGGAGCGCCTCTTCCCGGCCGCCCATCGTCTGAGATGTGGGGAGCGCCTCTGCCCCGCCGCCCCATCTGGGATGTGAGGAGCGCCTCTGCCCGGCCACGACCCCGTCTGGGAGGTGAGGAGCGTCTCTGCCCAGCCGCCCCATCTGAGAAGTGAGGAGCCCCTCCGCCCGGCAGCCGCCCCGTCTGGGAAGTGAGGAGCGTCTCCGCCCGGCAGCCGCCCCGTCCGGGAGGGAGGTGGGGGGCGCCTCCGCCCGGCTGCCCTGTCTGGGAAGTGAGGAGCCCCTCTGCCAGGCCGCCACCCCGTCTGGGAGGTGTACCTAACAGCTCACTGAGAACAGGCCATGATGATGATGGCGGTTTTGTGGAATAGAAAAGGGGGAAATGTGGTGAAAAGATAGAGAAATCAGACTGTTGCTGTGTCTGTGTAGAAAGAGGTAGACATAGGAGACTCCATTTTGTTCTGTACTAAGAAAGATTCTTCTGCCTTGGGATGCTGTTGATCTATGACCTTGCCCCCAACCCTGTGCTCTCTGAAACATGTGCTGTGTCCACTCAGGGTTAAATGGATTAAGGTCGGTGCAAGATGTGCTTTGTTAAACAGATGCTTGAAGGCAGCATGCTCGTTAAGAGTCATCACCACTCCCTAATCTCAAGTACCCAGGGACACAAACACTGCGGAAGGCCGCAGGGTCCTCTGTCTAGGAAAACCAGAGACCTTTGTTCACTTGTTTATCTGCTGACCTTCCCTCCATTATTGTCCTATGACCCTGCCAAATCCCCCTCTGCGAGAAACACCCAAGAATGATCAATAAAAAACAAACAAACAAACAAACAAACAAAAAAGATTATGATCCCACTATTTGCAAAAAAATAAAATAAAATAAAATAAAAATACAAAATTAAAAAAAAAAAAAGAGGCAAGGTCACTTTTGTCCCCAAGTTATAACTCTGGTCTTCCTCTGCTTCTCCTCTTTTCTCAGGACTCTTTCTTATCTCATCCCCAAGTTCAGCTTGTTCAGCCCTGCAAGGGCTGATGGGTGGGGGTCAGGTGTGGGGCAGGATCACTGCCCTCCTCCATTATTTTCACCCAGGCAAAAATGGGTGAAATGAGCCTCAAGGGCCGTGTCAGAGAGAGGTGTGAGGGGTGGAGACAGAGGGAGAGTCAGGAATGGACCCTCACTGCACTAGAAGCATGTGGAGGAGAGAGGACCAGCCTCCTTCTGAGGGAAGAATAATAGGAGCACTGTATGTGTGTGCCTGAGTTCCAGGTCTGGTTGGTACTGCATGAGAGAGTCATCTCGTTTTCCCACAAAAATAGCTTCAAAATCATCCAGACCCTTCTTTCTTCCCTCTTGATATTGGTCTCAGACCTGTCACTAAAATCCTAAGGCTGGCTCTGATCCCACCATGAGAAGCTTTCAGAAAAGGGTGCTTTTCTCCCGGAGCTCAAGGGCTTCAGCTCTTGGCTAATCAGTACCACACCCCCAAACACACACACACACACACACACACACACACACACACACACACACACAGAGAGTAATTAGTTATGGAATTTGGTGGAAGAATCAATCAGACCATTTGGATCATGGAATAAACTATTCTATGGACGCATGGAATGTTCCATGGAATAATGTCCTAGTTATTTTGTGCTATAGGGAGACAGACATTTATATCCAACAAATGTCCTCTAGATTGAGTGTTGAACAATCTTGTATGGATAAGACTGAGAACAACACACGGAGGAAATTCTTCTGGTTTCAAGACAAACTCCACGAAGACCAGATGCACTTGGAGTTTGAGTCCGTCTCTTCTGCTCTGTGGTAGGTTACTCCAGTTCCTCTGCAAAATCGTTTGGAATTTGTAAAACCTCCAAATCCTCCCTCGGGGGTCTGTGCCTCTTGGCTTCCTTACAGCTCCTTTGTGACCGTAAGATAGGTTTAATAATCACACTCTAGGTTGCACAACTATTATTATTCCCATCAGAGACACATAGTGCAGAAAAATAGAATCTGTGTTTTGCATTTCCTGTTTCAGATAAGCAGTTTCATCTAAGGAAAATAGCAGATGCTATTTACCCAGGAGTGTGGTCTTCCCCTGGTACTGAGGCTGGGGGCCTGCAGCAGTTTCAAAATAGAAGCATCTTCCCCAACTGCACTCTGCACGTGGCCTCCTTCCTCATGCCATGCTCTGTCTCTCTGGCTCTGCTTCCCAATGGTGAGTGCATATGCGGAAAAGAAATGGGGACCCAGTGAGTCTTGGTGCTTCCAGGAGGCCCTCAGGCCCTGGTGAGAGCTGATGGTTTGGAAGATGGAAAGCAGCCAGTGGACATCAAACATTTAAAGATTCAAGCAGAGTTATTAGGGGTCCAAGGGTTTGAATTGTTCCCAGGCTAATATGACCCTCCCCTAACTTTCCATGCTGACTCCATCTCTTCTTCGACCTTGCTAGGGACCTGTCTTTTCCTGTTCTTGGTACTGCAATACAGTTACAGGATGTGAAAGTAGCGAGAAAGAGATAAAGCTTGGATCCTGGCAAAGGGGATGCATTGCCAAGGCCAGAGGCAAGTTGATGACTTAAGCTGGGCCTAGAACCCTCATGTCTTGGCTCACAGACCTGTGCTCTTTCCATAAGCCCTGACTTGAAGAGGATTCCTTAACTGAACTGTTATGAGATTCTCACAGATTCAGTCTCTTGGTGTGGATAATAATGACCTATCAAGATACCAAAAGTGAAATAAGACAAAATAGGATCTATCTTAGTTGGTTATAACATTGTCAAGAGAAGCCTGCAAACTGCCTCATTCCCAAGAGTCTCAGAGGATCTGGGTAGGGTCTTGCAACATAGAGGGTGAGTTTAGTCTGTGAGTTCTTCCTTCCCCTGCTGTCCACCCAGTGACATTCACAGCATGGTTTGTCCCTAATAGTGTTTAGCTCTGGATCTGTATTAAATCACAGATGCTTAGAAACATAAAGGGCCTTAAAGAGCGTGTAGTCTATCCAACTCTCTACGTGCAAGTGAGATCATATATGTTAGAAGTAGACACAGATCTCAGGCAGCCTCCTGACAGTGAAACCTACAGCTGTGTCCATGGATCCCAGTGAGACCGGGAGATTTGGCAGTTGTCCAGTTGGTTGATATAGTTAGAAGTTGAGCTGTAAAATTTTTTTGTTTTTTTTTGAGATGGAGTCTTGCTGTGTTGCCAGGCTGGAGTGCAGTGGCACGATCTCAGCTCACTGCAACCTCTGACTCCGGGGTTCAAGAGATTCCCCTGCCTCAGCCTCCTGAGTAGCTGGGACTTCAGGCATGTGCCACCACGACTGGCTAATTTTTTGTATTTTAGTAGAGACGGAGTTTCACCATGTTGGCCAGGATGGTCTCAATCTCCTGACCTCGTGATCCGCCTGCCTCAGCCTTCCAAAGTGCTGGGATTACAGGTGTGAGCCACCACGCCCGGCCAGAAGTTGAGCTATATAATTTCAGCTGGAATGTTCACTATGCCACGTGAATTAGTCTACTTGCCAGTCTACATGGCAGGGTTCCATTAGTAGAAGTGGAAAGCACCCTCTGCTCCTCCGATTTCCAAATCTAAAGCCTGTGGCCCTCTCTCTGTTCTGCAGGATGTCCTAATGTGGTCATTTATCCCCTGGGCCTCTTCCTAGTCCCACGCTGTCCCTGGACCAGAGATGTGTTTCCTCCCAGCCCATCACAAATGCTTTGGGGGGCCTGGGACAGTGACCTGGGCTGGGCTGACCCTACCACTCCATCTGCATCTGCTCACAGGGACAGTGCTTCCTTTGTACCGTTGTTTGGGTGGTTTTTTTTTTTTAATTTTTGGTTGGGTTTGTTTATTTTTTACTTTTCCTTCTCCTCCTTTTCAAACCAAGTCCCTCAGAGCCTCAGCTGAAGCCAGCCCACCCAAGCGCATCCCTGCAACAGAACTTGTAATAATTCCCTAAGCAGTCCATGGACATCTTCCCAAACAGCCCTCCTACAGCAGAGGGTTCTGGGAAACCTAGTCACTTCCGCTCACATGGAGGCACCTGCCTCTGGGGACTTCCACAGCCCTGATCCTTGGATAGGAGAATGAAGACACAGGCCTGGGGGGGTGTTGGGGAGTGGGTTATGTTGATACCTAAATCTTCAGGCCACTCATCAGCTGGGTCCTTCTGAGTGAGTTAGGGTAACTTTCAAGAAAGTGAAATTCTCAGCCTGGAATTTATGACAACATGACCATCTCAGACCAAATTACGGAGAAAAATGTCAAAGTGTGTGTTCACTCCTTAGGGCTGTGAAAGGCCCAGGAGCCATTCTTCAGATGAGCCTCTTGGCCCTTAAAATCGTAAGCCTTCTATTTATGATCGAACTTTTCCTATTTGAAGCACATTCACTGAGCCAAATCTTTCTGTCACATATTTTGCTTTTAAAAGTTGAGTTTGTTTGATTTCCTAAATTTTTGTTATTTCTAACTATATCAAAGCAGCCCAGTTCAAAGAAACAGAATGTACCAGGGAAGCAGACATTTGATCATTAAAGGCAAAATGAATCTAAGTCACGTCTACTTGAGTTCTCATGACACCAAAAACAGAAAGATCCCTGTCCTACCTTAAGTCCATAGGCTTTTTGTCCTGGAGACCAGGGTCCCTCTGTGGTCTCAAGGTACCCAGGGTGCTATGCTGCATGGCTGAGCTGGGCACCTAAGACGCCAAGAGTCCCTAACCTTGCCCTTCTCTTGAGTGGAGGTGGCCAAAGGAGGGGGGTACATAAGAGACCACTTACTGCCCCTGGATGGGCAGAACAGAGTTGCCCAGGCCCTGTCAGGACAGGATGCAGAATTCCTGACTCTTGGGGAGTTTGTCTAGTTAATGACCATGTCCAGCTTCTGGTATAAAGACTACTTGGCAATCCCCTGCTCCCAGAGAAAGAGGGATCATTACTGAGGCTACAGGCAGGAGACTGGAGCAACTATTCAGAGGGAAAAGGAGCTAGAATAGCAAACTCCACAAGGACAAGGTATTATTTTGTACCCCACATCTTCTGGGTATCTAGAAAAATGCCTGGTCCTCAGGAAGTACTCAGTAAATGTTAAACTAATAAAACATTACTTTCTGAGAACATGTCAAAGATTTAGGCCTGGGGTTGGGAGACACAGAAAGAAGTATCCAGAGAATCTCAGTCAGTCTCAAAATTATGGCTCGACAGAGAAATTCCCTTCAATCCAAACCCAGGTCCTAATGCGGCTCCCTTGAAGGCTGTGACATGTGTGGTGAGCTTAGTGGATCTCATACCTCCTCATGTCAAATTAGATGGTAGCCTGAGCTCATGCATTGCCACTGAGGCAGGAGAGAGGGGACAGAGTAGAAATATTGGAGTCTGAATGGACAGGATGTGGAAACTCACAGTATGTGGGTACTGAAGGAAGTGAATTAGAGATGGGCATAATAGAGGGCGACCCTCTTCCCAGGGTTGCTGTAAGGAGTAGTAAATGAACACACAGTGCTTCATGCCATACGGTAGGTTCTTTTTTTGGGGGTGGGGGGCAACGGCATCTTACTCTGTCACCCAGGCTGGAGTGCAATAGCGCAGTCTCGGCTCACTGCAACCTCCACCTCCCGGGTCCAAGTGATTCTCCTATCTCAGCCTCCCAAGTAGCTGAGATTACAGGCGCCCACCACCAAGCCTGGCTAATTTTTGTATTTTTTAGTAGAGACGGGGTTTCACCATGTTGGCCAGGATGGTCTCCATCTGACCTTGTGATCCGCCTGCCTTGGCCTCCCAAAGTGCTGGGATTACAGGCGTGAGCCACCGCGCCCGGCCTGTAAGTTCTTTTTTTTTTTGAGATGGAGTCTTGCTTTGTCGCCCAGGCTGGAGTGCAGTGGTGTGATCTCCGCTCACTGCAACCTCCACCTCCTGGGTTCAAGCAATTCTCCTGCCCCAGTCTCCCGAGTAGCAGGGTTTACAGGCATGCACCACCATGCCTGGCTAATTTTTTTTTTTTTTTTTTGTGACAGAGTCTCACTCTGTCGCCAGGCTGGAGTGCAGTGGTGCAATCTCGGCTCACTGCAAACTCCGCATTCTGGGTTCAAGAGATTCTCCTGCCTCAGCCTCCCAAGTAACTGGGATTACAGGCATGTGCCACCATGCCTGGCTAATTTTTGTATTTTTAGTAGAGACAGGGTTTCACTATATTGGCCAGGCTGGTCTTGAACTCCTGACCTCGTGATCCGCCCACCTCGGCCTCCCAAAGTGCTGGGATTACAGATGTAAGCCATCATGCCCGGCCCTAGAATCAGTACTGTTAAGAGAATTAATTGAGAGGCCACTAGGCTGAGATGGCTCCAGGGCCTTGAGTTCCTATGTAACCAACTGAAACCCAACTCAGAAGGAATGGTTTTAACCTAGGAAAACAAAATTTAAGATTAACCAATTAGGAACCACAAACTAACCTCTAACGAGGGACTTTGCACATTAACCAATCAAATATTTTCTTTGTCTTGCTTCCATGAGCACCTTATAAAAGATTTTCCCTTGCACCCCTTTGCTGGAGCCCTGAACCACTTGTTGTGTTATTGTTCGATTCATGAATCACTGTCTGCTCAAGTAAACTCTTTAAAATGTTCATGTGCCTAAGTTTATCATTTAATGTTAAGTATTTGTAGCCAGAGTAAAGGACCACTGGTCTGAGGAGGGGTCACTAACACAAGTGTGGAAAAGAAAAGCACAAAGATTACTATTAATATCTCACTCAACCAATAATTCTGGAAATGGGCTCTCAGTCCCTAGACAAGGTCTATGGGATCCAGGGGTGCACTGCTCTATTCTAGAATACGTAGTGGGTCCACTGTATTTCTTAGCCCCCCTCCAAATCTGGAAAGCAGTGAAATCTGTGGTTCTTAGTCACCTCCTCTTCCTTGTACCCACCCACTTGCCCCTCTAAGAGATGTAGCCCGTGAAAAACCCTTGCCATTCTTAATGGAGGGCGCTGTGATTCTCAAACCTGGTAATACTCTTTACATAGCCCTGATGAGGAGCCACTGGTAAATACTAATTCCAGAAAACTTAAAAGAAGCCTTCCAGGCCACACACAAACTCTAGACACAGTACAATACCACTTTTGACAAAGTAGATCGTGAATACATACAGACATACATACATAAAACATGGTCATTTTCTTACAGACTTCAGTGAAGACATAGAAATCCTGTTCTTCACATTTGGACATGGCTCAGTCCAAGAGGGAGAGGGATTGCTGACACTGGGCTGAGAGGCTGGCCAGTAGCTCCCATTCACAGACAGTGCGTGCAGAAGAGCTTTGTCAGTGTCTAACAAACCAAGAAACACATCTTTTGGAGCCAGACAGATCCAGGTGTGAATCTCGGTTAGGCCACTCACTATGCCATGTGGAGCAAGCTCGTTGACCTCTGTGAGCCTGTTATCTCCCCCAGAAGATGGCTATCATCATACGTACCTTACATGGTTTCTACTGGTACAAGAGAGAAACACACATAAACTGCCTAGCACAATGAGTGTCCACATCTGATACTGGCTGATCACTCAGTGATACCTCTCTGAACCAGAACTTATCCTAACGTCACACTTTTTGATCAGAAACCGTGTTGTAGGAGTGGAAATGACGTGAGAGACAGGAGGATGGTCCAGGTCACAGTTCCTCTCCTGCTCCCATCCTCTCCCTCCCTCCTTCTCCTTTCTCTCTCGAGGCAGCACATGGCTTCCAAGACATCTCAGGCTGCAGCCTGCTCCTGCCTCTCAGGAGTGGTCCCCAACTCCACTTATGAGTGTGTGGATGTGACAGCCCTGCTACCCAGATGATGACAGCATGTGAGGCCCAAGAGCCTGGGTGTCTCCCTCCAGGGGCCTGGGCCCCAGCCCACTTGCGATGGTTCCATTGCCTCTTGTTTATTGACCCCTCTGACCCAGCATTGAGAAACTTCCCTTAATTCCTCCACACCCAGATGGACTTGGTTAAGAGAATCCCAATCCCAGAAGGGACACTAATGGAAATGACAGAATGTTGAGTCAAGCTGGGACCCCACAGATCTTCTGGCAGCATTTCAACCCTTTCTGTGCCGTGTGCCCCTTTGACAGCTTGGCAAAAAAATATCCATAAATACATAAAATAAAAGACATGAGATCACAAAGGAATTCAATTATCTTGAAAAACAATTCTACCCAACTTCCTATGGACATCCATGGATTTCAGATGATCAACACCTGACAGCCAAACCTCTTGCTGAAAACTTAGGAAACTCTCCAAGGTCACTCAGCGAAGAAGTGAGAGGCCTTGGACAGGAACCCCATCTCCTTATTCCTGCACCTGTGCTTTTGTGTTTTTTACTAATTTAATATTTCAGGAAACTAAGAAAAACAAAACAGAAATCTTGCTGCCTCTGCTTTGAAAACTGAATTTCATCCATGTGGGAAGGTGTGGAGGAAACCCTGC
Organism: Homo sapiens; assembly: GCF_000001405.40. Taxonomy (NCBI): domain Eukaryota; kingdom Metazoa; phylum Chordata; class Mammalia; order Primates; family Hominidae; genus Homo; species Homo sapiens. Next base: position 195,591,508 of record NC_000003.12, on the reverse strand, counting down.
TGGCCCTCAGAGTATTCATAAGAACTGACCTTGCTTTATCCAGGATTGCAACACCAGGCAAATATTATTTCTCGGTAAACATCTGGAAAAGCTTAGGGTCACAGTAAATTGGTGGAGGATTTGGCCAGGGCACTGGTGACTGGTTGAGACGCCCAACTCCTAAACGTGGTGGGCAGCACTGTTGGATTGTGGACTGAGTAGATGGGTCAATTCCTCTGCTTTCAGGAGGTCAGGGTCAGGGAGTCTGGAACACTGGCCTCTGAGCCTGCTACCGACGTCTCGGCCCTCAACTCTTGTTAGGAATTAGTGAGCAGTTGGTGCCCCCTTGTTCTGCTGGGAAGACTGGCAGGTATTTAACCTGAGAGCATTAACCCCTGGCCCATCTCCCAGCTGAGCCCTTTCACTCCTTTCTCTCCCTGCTGGGGTAAGAGAATGTAATGGATAAAAGCATGAGTTTGGTCAGGGTTTAAATTCTCACTTCATCGCTTCAGAAAAGTTGCATGGCCATCTCCCCCTCCCCTCTGTTTGTTTGTTTGTTTTTTGAACTGGAGTCTCACTCTGTCACTCAGGCTGGAGTACAGTGGCACCATCTCGGCTCACTGCAACCTCCGCCTCCCGGGTTCAAGTGATTCTCCTGCCTCAGCCTCCCGAGGAGCTGGGATTACAGGCGCCCGCCACCACCCCCTGCTAATTTTTGTATTTTTAGTAGAGACGGAGTTTCATCATGTTGGCCAGGCTGGTCTGGAACTCCTGACCTCAAGTGATCCACCTGCCTCCGCCTCCCAAAGTGCTGGGATTATAGGCGTGAGCCACTGCACCTGGCCCTCTCTGTGTTTTTATCCCTCTAATGGGAATAGTAGTCATGCCTGCCTTTTAGGGTGTAGCAACAATTAGAGCTAAGGTACAGAAAGCACCTACACAGGACCTGATGTGTTGCATTCTGCATTCTGTGGTTAGGAGTCATTATTCTAATAAGCTCTGGGTTGCACCTTCCACACTGTTGTGGGAAGTCAGGGACCCTGAATGGAGGGACCAGCTGGAGCTGCAGCAGAGGAACATAAATTGTGAAGATTTCATGGACATTTATCAGTTCCCAAATAATACTTTTCTAATTTCTTATGCCTGTCTTTACTTTAATCTCTTAATCCTGTTATCTTCATAAGCTGAGGATATACGTCACCTCAGGACCACTGTGATAATTGTGTTAACTGTACAAATTGATTGTAAAACATGTGTGTTTGAAAAATATGAAATCAGTGCACCTTGAAAAAGAACAGAATAACAGTGATTTTTAGGGAACAAGGGAAGACAACCATAAGGTCTGACTGCCTGCGGGGTTGGGCAAAAAGAGCCACATTTTTCGTCTTGCAGAGAGCCTATAAATGGACGTGCAAGTAAGAAAGATATCGCTGAATTCTTTTCCTAGCAAGGAATATTAATATTAATACCCTGGGAAAGGAATGCATTCCTGGGGGGAGATCTATAAACAGCCGCTATGGGAATGTCTGTCTTATGCGGTTGAGATAAGGACTGAGATATGCCCTGGTCTCCTGCAGTACCCTCAGGCTTATTAGGGTGGGGAAAAGCTCTGCCTTGGTAAATTTGTGGTCAGACTGGTTCTCTGCTCTTGAACCCTGTTTTCTGTTGTTTAAGATGTTTATCAAGACAATATGTGCACTGCTGAACATAGACCCTTATCTGTGGTTCTGCTTTTGCCCTTTGTCCTGTTCCCTCAGAGGCATGTGATCTTTGTTAGACCCTTATTAGTAGTTCTGCTTTTTGCCTTTTGAAGCATGTGATCTTTGTACCTACTCCCTGCTTTACATCCCCTCCCCTTTTGAAACCCTTAATAAAAAACTTGCTGGTTTGAGGCTCGGGTGGGCATCACGTTCCTACTGATATGTGATGTCACCCCCAGCAGCCCAGCTGTAAAATTCCTCTCTTTGTACTCTTTCTCTTTATTTCTCAGCTGGCTGACACTTATGGAAAATAGAAAGAACCTGCATTGAAATATTGGGGGCGGGTTCCCCCGATACCACACTGTGTCCCTTACAAATAAAGCAGGTGCTAAGGCAGGTGTTGTTAGCCAAGTGGATGTGTTCAGAAAAGACCCTCCACCATCATCAGAGCAGACCTATTTCTCCCACACATCTCAGCAAAGTACATGACTTGACCACAGTCACACAAAGAGAAAATCCTGTCTCAGCTTCTTCCTGATCTACACAGCTCCTTCATCTGGGTGTTTACTCTCTGCCTTCCTCTTGTTTCTACAGACACAGAACCTTCCTTTCTCTCCAAAGCCAGCACCTCCACCTGCACTCTGGATCCCTCCCCTCTCTCCTGCAGATTTTTCCTCTACTAGATCGTCCCTCTGTGCATGCTCTAAGCATCTCCCTTAACCTGCAGGTCTCTGTTCAACTACTATTTCTCTACTTTCCTTCACAGGTAAAGAGCATTGCTGCCTCCTCTTTCCCTCCTCAACCCACTCCAACTGGACTTCTGCCCTCCCTGCTCCCCCTGCCTCTTTTCTTGGCTCCTTCTTCTCTGCTCAGTCTCTGAAGGTTAGAGGGTACCAGGGATCTGTCCTGGGCATCCTTTTTTTCCATTTCTAAATGTCCTCCCTTAGTGTTCCCATCCAGTCTCATGGCTTTGAAGACCATGTATGTTCTGATGACTTCCCAATCTCTATCTCCAGCCCTGATTTTCCCCCAAACTTCACTTGAATATCTAATTGCTTTCTTAACATTTTCACTTAGATGTCTGATGGGGCAACTCAAACATAGCTTATCCATAAAGAACTTGAGTTCTTCTCCCAGACTCACCCTCCAGGCTTCCCATCTGTAGCAGCTGGCAGGTGCGTTCACCTGATTTTTCAACCTTTACATCTAAGAGCCAGTCTCGATTCCCGGCTTTCCTCATCTTCCACCTGCGGCCCATCAGCAAGTCTTGTCCACTTTATCTCCAAAGCACATTCCAAATTTGCCCACTTCTCTCCATCTGTATGCTAATCACTCTAGCCCAAACCACCATCAAACTATTTCCCAAATGACCACAGGGGCTCCTCAGCTGATCCATCTGTAACCATTTTATTCTCCATTCTTGATAGTCAAGCCCAAATAACCATGTCATGCTCTTGCCTAAAACCTTCCCATGACTCCTACTGTACTTGAAATAAAATTCAAGGTCCTCAAAGCAAGATAGATTCTGGTTTCTGTCTACCTCTCCACACTCACTTCCTCCTCACCTCTGCTCCAGCCAAACTGGTCTCTCCATTTCTTAAAAACTTAATGTCTGTTCCCACCTTAGGACCCCTGCACTGGCAGTTCTTCCTGGAACACTCTTCCTTTGGTGTTTGAATGACTGGTTCCCATTCATCACTCACATCTCAGCTGAAATGTCAGTATTCAAAGAGACTCTTCCTGACCACCAGACCGAAGTGGGCACCCTTCACTTCCTATCACGTCATCCTATTCTCTTTTCTAACCTCCCAGAGGAGAGTCACACAGATAGACAGGAAAAATAGGTACTCTCCCTCCTCAACCCACTCTAATTAGGTATTTTTCCTGTCTGTCTGTCTATCTCGCCTCTGGGAGGTAAGTCCCACAAGGGCTGAGACATTGTCTTTCTTCTTTACCACTATATCTGCAGGACTCAGAACAGTGCCCCGCACCCCCGTGTGTGTGTGTGTGTGTGTGTGTGTGTGTGTGTGTGTGTATACATACAGCAACGTAGTGTTGCTATATGTTGTTGAATGCGTGAATGAATGGATAAATAAATTAGTAACAGAGCTAGGACCAGAACCCAGGCCTCCTGCCCCCAGTCCAGTGTTCTTCCCTGCATGCCATATCAAGCTGCTGTTTTCACCAGTTTGATTGCTGTCTTCCTGTTGACCAGATGCTTGGCACCATTAAACTTTCAACTAGTTCCAGAGCCCAGTGAGAAGGGAAATGGCCACCAGGGCACAGGAGGGAGAGGAAAGAGGGCCTCTGAATGAATAATGAGGTCTATAACAAGCCCAGCAAGGACTGAGAATCTAGCATATTCTATTATTCATTCCATCATTCACGGAATATTTAGTAAACACTTACGTGTCAGGCATCATGTAAGGTGCCAGGGATAAAAAGACAATCCTACTTGGGTGGATCTGACCGTCTCCAGAAGGAGATGGAGGCATAAGCATAGTGTAATGAGTGAGGACAGGGTGACATGTGCCATGAAAACACAAAGCAGATGGGAGAACGCTGCGTGGGGTGGGCTAGGAATCCAGAAGATGACCCAGGGAGGGGGACATTTGAGCCGAGTCTTAAAGAGTGAAGGTGCACTACTGAAACCTCTCAGTCTGCATTTTCACACGAAAAGTACATTTGTGCGTCCCCTTTATTCTAACTGACAAAAGAAAAATCACTTTAGAAAGGCATACAGGATGACTCTGGTAGTTGAAAGAACCACTTATTAAGAAATAAAGAATTCTTCATCCAGAAACATGTTTTTTTAGGAGATGAGATAGTTCTCTATTTCTTGCCACAAAGAGTCCATTCAAATAACTGCATCTTCCCTGCGGGTCTGAGAGTGAAACCACTGAGGCAATCACCTCCATGATGAAAGATCATCACCCAACAAAGAACTGCTTTCCGGAAAAACCACAGACCACAGACTGTCTCTTCAAGAAATGCGCTGTCGCCTGTAATCCAGCACTTTGGGAGGCCGAGGCGGGCAGATCACGAGGTCAGGAGATCGAGACCATCCTGGATAACACGGTGAAACCCCGTCTCTACTAAAAAAAAAAAAAAATTAGCCGGGCATGGTGGCAGGCCCCCGTAGTCCCAGCTACTCAGGAGGCTGAGGCAGGAGAATGGCATGAACCTGGGAGGCAGAGTTTGCAGTGAGCCGAGATCCGGCCACTGCACCACTCCAGCCTGGGCGAGAGCGAGATTCTGTCTCAAAAAAAAAAAAAGAAAGGAAAAAAAGAAATGTGCTCTCAGGTAAAAGCAAGATTTTGCAGCAGGTGAAAGAATGAGGTAGATCTATGTGTACTGATATAGAAAGATAGATACATTGTTACATTAAAAAACAAGTTTCTTGGCTGGGCGCAGTGGCGGTGGCTCATGCCTGTAATCCCAACACTTTGGGAGGCCGAGGCGGGTGGATCACCTGAGGTCAGGAGTTTGAGACCAGTCTGGCCAACATGGTGAAACTCCGTCTCTACTAAAAATACAAAAATCACTTGGGTGTGGTGGCGGGCGCCTGTAATCCCAGCTACTCGGGAGGCAGAGGCAGGAGAATCACTTGAACCAGGGAGGCTGAGGTTGCAGTGAACCAAGATTGCACCACTGCACTCCAGCCTGGGTGACAGAGTGAGTGAAGGTCGGTCTCAAAAAAAAAAAAAAGTTTCAGAACATTGAATATTGTTATTATTACATAGGGATCTGTATAGAAAGATCTAGAGGAATAATTACAAACAAAATAATGCTTATCTCTGAGGTGTGGGATTATGAGGTGCTTACATTTCCTGAGTCCTGCATTTTGGTGCTATTTTAATTGTTTTGAACAAATGTGTATTTATTTTGGGACTTAAAAATAAACACTTGCTTAGAAGATAGGTCTGATTTGTTTTATGCTGCTTAAGAATTTGTTACTGGCTATACATTCCAGAAACATGTGAAGAGAGGATTTCCCTAAGGAATATATCACTTACCAATATTTACAGAAAAAATGAACTGAGACCTAGGAAGATCGTGTGGCTTTTCTCCCGCTGTGACTCCTAGACCTGGACCTTCAGCTCCATGGTTGCCGACTTCAGTGCTGAGGGCTAAAATACATAGATATCTCCAACTCCAACATACATATTTGGAAACTTAGGCAACAGTGCTTTGTGGAAAACTGTGCAACTGCTTAGAGGAGAGAGAATTTTTTGTAATAGGCTGAAAAGAGGCTAACTGTGTATTTCTTCAATGACAGGCAATTCTTGGTGGCAAATGTGATACAGGTGAAGAAGACAGAAACATACAGGCTAGTGCTTCTCCAGAAATACAATTGAAATCAAAATCGCGTGAATATTACCTCTGGGGCCTTTTGTATATCTTAGAAACTCATTAAGTTCTTTGGATAGCATCCATTTAATTTATAAGTATTTACTGAGCACTTAGTATGTGCTTAGCCACTGGGGCACAACACAGAGTCAAAGAGACAAACTCCTGGCACGCCTCAAGCTCCTATCCTCCTGGGGAAAACATACTAAGCAGGATAATGTATAAATAAAGGAGAGAATTTCAGGTAAAGATATAATGAAGCAGGGAAAGGGACAGTGACAAGAGTGCTATTTTTGAAAGGTCAGGAAGCTTTTTAGGGAAAAGTGTCATCTGATCAGGGACCTGGAGTGGGGAAGGGAGCTACACAGAGCTCTTAGGGGAGGGCAGCACAGGAGGTCAGCGAGAGGCAGGCCCTGGGTGGTAGTAGGAATTTCTTATGTTTCTGAAAAGGCAAAGAACATCTTAAAGAAAGCGCTCACAACGTTTGGGATGTTACGGATCTGTGTTGTTGTTTTCATGTTTATAGACTCAGTGCTGTAAATGTATCTCTGTTGCTTACATATTTTAGAATGAATTTCATTTAGGAGTCTAAGTCTACTACGAAGGCACTGCCTTATCTAAATGTCTCTAAACATACCTCCTGCCTATCACAAAGACATAGAATCTCACTCACAAGAGTCAAAGTTGTTCATTCCACCAGGAGAGATAAGGCTGGACCAAAAGCACCCCTGGGTTTAAGTCCACACTCCCCACCACCCCGGCCCCCACCCCCAAGCAGTGACAGACTGTCTTGAACTTCTCGCTGCAAGGGTCATAAAAGGGACAGAGAACAGAGCGACAGAAGATGTCTTCTGCATTCTCAACTTTTAGCCCCAGTTGTTAGAGAACTGGTATCTCCCCTACACGTCTGGCTCTGGTGGAGAAAGAATGACAGCCCCTACTTACAACGAGGAGACTGTGGCTCAGAGAAGTTAGGGGGCTGCCCAGGATCCTGGAGAAAGCCAGCTTTGACTCATAACCCTCGCGCCATTACCTGACTCCCATTAGTGGAGTCAGGAACTCCATGTTCCACTTCAGGAAATGAGCTTGTTGATTTTTCATTTACACAAAAATGAAAAATAAATACCAGATGTTTGAAAACATGTTGCAACACGTCCTGCTGGAACTTAAAAGTGCATTCTGACCAAAAAAATTAAATTAGAAAATCCACATAGCAAAAAAAAAAATGTTTTGGATGAAAATATACTTTATCTTTCTCTCACACATACTCTCTCTCTCTCTCGCACACATACCCACACACACACACACACACACACACGCGCGCGCGAAAACAATATCTCATTTCTTCTTCAGGGAGCAGCTGTGAAGGAAATCGGGGGAGGAGGATGGACACAACATCCCATCTTTGTGTTTCGATACAGACTAAGCTTTTAGGCCAACCCTCCTGACTGGATGGGGGCGGCGGGCGTGGCATGCATGAAAAGTAAACATCAGAGACCTGAAGAAGCTTATAAAATAGCTTGGGAGAGGCCAGTCACCAAGACAGGCATCTCAAATCGGCTGATTCTGCATCTGGAAACTGCCTTCATCTTGAAAGAAAAGGTATGTACTGTAGTTTTAAGCTTTTCATTTATGATAATAATGTCTAAAATAGAAACAGTCTAGACTCTCCATTGCCCCATTTCAGCTACATATAACTACCACTGATTGAGAGCTTGTGCCGGTAGCTTTAGACTTGTTCTCATTTTTCCTCAAACAAATGTACAAGGTAGGTATCATCAGAGCCATTTTTCCAGTGATAAAGCTGAGGTTCAGATACACTAGCAACATGCCTAAGATAAAACCAAACCCAGTGTGAACTCATCCCAGCGTCTTTTGCTTACCCCTCCAAACTGGACAACGAGGTGTTTCCATGCACAAACACCGTCCTAGGTGAATTCTCAGCAAGCTGTCCAACGGTGCATCGCAGTAAAATAATCTGGAAACTGGAATTAATGGTGTGACTAGAAAATGCATTTGACAATATGGCATAAAATATTGTGTTTGGGAGATACGTGTCTTGTTATATTTAATGGCTAAATGAGTCTTTGAGACCTAATGACTTATTGGAACCTATTTTATTTTATGAGGTGAAATTTCAAAATCTAGTCCTTCACGTTCTGCAGATCTTTGAGGTCAGGGGCTGTGTCCCCAGGCACTAAGAGCGCGGGCTTGTGGGAGACCTAGGCTTACATTCTAGCCTGTCCCCAGGCCTAGGCTTACACTGTGGCTTCGTAGTTTACCAGGAAGTAACCCGGGCAAATTCACCTCGTTGGTATGAAGAGAGTGTCAGCAGAGGTCGCCTCCAGAGGAGGTGCTGTGGAGACTGAGCGCATAGCACCCTTAAAATCCTGGGACCAGGGCTTCTCCACGGGTAAGCTTAATGCAAGTGGAGCAGTGATTTCCAGCTAGTGCCAGGCCCAAGGTGGATGCACTGTCACCTTAGTTGGATTGCTTTTTAATTACCTCATATTCTGTTAAAAATCATATTTCTTTTTTTTTTTTTTTGAGACGGAGTCTCACTCTGTCACCCAGGCTGGAGTGCAGTGGCGCGATCTCGGCTCACTACAGCCTCCGCCTCCCAGGTTCAAGCCATTCTTGTGCCTCAGCCTCCCAAGTAGCTGGGATTACAGGACTGCACCACCATGCCCAGCTAATTTTTGTATTTTTTGTTTGTTTGTTTTTGTTTTGTTTTTTTGAGATGGAGTTTTTGCTCTGTTGCCCAAGCTAGAGTGCAATGGTGTGATCTTGGCTTACTGCAACCTCTGCCTCCCATGTTCAAGCAATTATCCTGCATCAGCCTCCCGAGTAGCTGTGATTACAGGTACTTGCCACCACACCTGGCTAATTTTTTGTATTTTTAGTAGAGACGGGGTTTCGCCATGTTGGCCAGGCTGGTCTCAAACTCCTAACCTCAAGTGATCTGCCCACCTCGGCCTCCCAAAGTGTTGGGATTACAGGCATTAGCCATCATGCCCGGCCAAAAATAATATTTAAATTATACTTATTTTGTAAAGTATTTAAACTCCTCATAAGAACAATCTTCCTATTGATATCAGAAGAAGATGCAAAAATATATGTCGTATATAATCCATATGTTACCCAAAGTCTTAAGTACACATTAATAACATGCTCAATAAGTAATGAGTAAATTAGAATGAAAGGACATTGAAAACTATAATGGATGCTGTCCGCCCTTTCTCTCACAAGGAGTTTTTTTGTTGTTGTTGTTTGTTTGCTTGTTTTGAGACGGAGTTTTGCTCTTGTTGCCCAGGCTGGAGTGCAATGATGCAATCTCAGCTCACCACAACCTCCACCTCCCGGGTTCAAGCAATTCTCCTGCCTCAGCCTCCCGATTACAGGCATGCATGTAATTACAGGCAGCATGGGATTACAGGCATGCACCACCATGCCCAGCTAATTTTTTTATTTTTAGTAGAGATAGGGTTTCTCCATGTTGGTCAGGCTGGTCTTGAACTCCCAACCTCAGGTGCTCCACCTGCCTCGGCCTCCCATGGGATTACAGGCTTGAGCCACCGCACCTGGCATCACAAGGAGTTTTAACCACAGGAATAAAACTAATGTAACCAAGAGGCATCTTTGGAAGAGGGTCAGTCAAAGGGGTTGTTCTGAAATCCTCCTACTGAGGTAAAGAATCTGTTTCAGCTCACAAGAGAGCATTTTGTCAGAGTAAGATGTAGAACTGACTTTTGTTGCAGTGTCATGTGGTGGTGAGACTCATCAGGTCACAGAGGTGGGGGGTTATTGAAAGGCCCTATGGCGGTGCACAGAAGAAGCAGATTCGGGGTGCTGCAGACAGGAGAGGGGGAGATGGAGCTCGAGTCCCAGCTCTCTGCCCCTTCCAGGCCCCAGCTTCCCCATCTGTACACCTTGGAAGTAGAGCTAGAAAGATGACCTCTAAGGTCCTATCCAGTGTGGGGACCTTGTGGAATGTGCATAGTGTGTGGCCAGTCTTTGAGGTTTGATCCTCTGGGCCAGGCTTTCAGCTTGGGCCTACTAAGTAGAATTCAAGATCTCTTTAAAATGGATGCAAATTTGTGTGGGTTTAGGCTGCATTTCTATAAATTCATCATCCCCCAAAAGGTTAAAAGACAGGTTTTGTTTATACAGTGGTGGAGCCGATGAGAAACGGAACCTCAGAGACCAGGGAAAGTGGCCCTGTGGCAGACTTGCTCAAAGGGGCCTCAGCAACCATCTCCCCCTGCAGCAACCCCAGCTGGCAAGCTGCCACTCCTTACATAACTGTTCTTTGGAAAACCAGGCAACAAAACCTCCAGGGGAAAAAAAGCTATTGATTATTAAAGGGTATTTAGAGGTTTAGAGACTCACAATAAAGCAGTTATAATTATTCCTGTAATGACACATCCTTCGAAATGCTCAGATCTGAGAACATTTTGCTTGCATTGCATCAGTCATCATCATTACAGGGAGAAATGCAGAGAGCTGGAAATAGCTCGTGTGCAAGCTACAGGCAAGGAGTCACAAGGAAAGGAGCAAATTGACAGCGAGTCAGTGAAGGAAACAGGGGAGCTTCCAATGCCCAGAACCTGCACACAGTCCTGCAGCCTCTGTCTCCCTGCCTTGCTGCCCCGCTTCAAAGCCAGCTTCTGCTGCCAAAGGACTCTTGGGGTTGAAATGCTTGTTGCACAGTTACACATCAGCTGACAGTCCTTCTCTGATTTAATGAACTTCATCTATGAAAAATACCCTCAACAGGCCGGGTGCGGTGGCTCAGGCCTGTAATCCCAGCACTTTGGGAGGCCAAGGCGGGTGGATCCCCTGAGGTCAGGAGTTTGAGACCAGCATGGCCAACATGGTGAAACCCTGTCTCTACTAAAAATACCAAAATTAGCCGGGAGTTGTGGTGGACACCTGTAATCCCAGCTACTCAGGAGTCTGAGGCAGGAGAATCACTTGAACCCGGGAGACAGAGGTTGCAGTGAGCCGAGATTGTGCCACTGCACTCCAGCCTGGGTGACAGAGTGAGACTCCATCTCAAAACAAAACAAAACAAAACAAAAACCCTCAACAGAATGTCAAAAAAAAAAAAAGAAGAAAGAAAGAAGAAAAGAAAAGAAAGAAGAAACCTGGGAAATACCATCATCTTTCTGCTTTTGATAATAACAATAACTAGCATTTATTGAGCATTTACTCTGTATCAGACACTCCTCTAAGTACTCTCTGTATATTATCTCATTTAATTCTCACAAAAATTCATGAGCTAGGAATGATAATTATTCCCATTTACTAGACAAAGAAGCTAAGGCATAAATTGGACACAGTTATACTTAGTATGGGGCAGAGTCACAATTTGAACCTGGCTGGGGTGACCCTGGAGCCCCCAGCAGGCCGCTCCCTGTTAAGGTTTCCAAGCGCACTCTTGGGCTGGTAGAACAGCCAGCAAGACGAGGGCAGGGGGAGGGATGGTGTCAGAGAGGCATCTCCCTGAAGAATCTCAGAGGACACTAAGTGTTGGGCAACATTTGGTTTGGTTTCGTGTCTTTCGTGGTTCACTTGGAGGCTTTAATCCCCCACTTTACATAGCCCTCTCCACGCTGTTTCTGTTCATTTGACAAGTATCTACTGAGCCGACACTTTGAGGTCCGTGGGTGATTCTGAGGAGAACTAGACACAGTGCCCATCCTGGGAGATGCATAATTAGGTGGGACAGGGGTGAAAATCAATCCAACAAACCAGAATACCAGGCAGAGAGCGCCCTCGTGGAGGTGCAGAGGCTCTGAGGAAGGCCTCACAGCAACAAGGACAGGCAGGTGTTCCCCTGCAGGATGAGGGTTCACATGGGCTGGGGAGAGAAGAGGAGGGACCGCCCACAGAGGGGACCATGGGCACAGCACTCTTACTTCATGATTGTGTGGCCTTAGAAGGCTCAGAATGACAACCCCAGCTGCTTTGCGTTCCCGCAGCTCCAGGTCCCTTCTCCAGCCACCCAGCCCCAAGATGGTGATGCTGCTGCTGCTGCTTTCCGCACTGGCTGGCCTCTTCGGTGCGGCAGAGGGACAAGCATTTCATCTTGGGAAGTGCCCCAATCCTCCGGTGCAGGAGAATTTTGACGTGAATAAGGTAAAAGGCGAACCTCCCGTTTGTTTTGCTGCCTCCGCTGTGAATAAGCGTTCTACAAGGTTCAATGTAATTATGCTGCTTTAATTTCCACTGCACACCTTGGGACAAGTATTTATCTTATTTGGGGTTTCCCCAAAGCAGACATCTGCTGAGATAAAGACTGCAGGCAGAGAGGTTTGGGATGATCCCGGGACGCACGAGAGCAGGTGGGAAGGTGAGTCGGAGACAGCACAGAAGCAATAAAGGGTGCGTTCCTGAGCTGTCGCCCTGGGCCGTCAGGGTCAGTCACACTGGGCACCCTCTGAGGACACGTGGAGCATGCCCCTCCGATTGTCCCACAGCTGCTGCCAGCAGGTCATGGGAGCATCCGTGGCTCTAGCTGAGCCCCCTGGCAGAGGAGAGACACAGGGTCTCAGGTGGGAGGCTGGCAGTGTCTGGGAATTGCCTACCGTGGCTGCGGTGAACTCAGAGGTGGGCTGAGGGGAACAGGACCAGGGAACCATAGTAGCTGCTACAGAGCTATTATCCTTGTTCTACAGATGCAGCATCGGAATCTCCCTCCCCAGCTCACGCAGCTGGTAAATGCAAGTAGGATTCAAAACCAGGCTTCTCAGCAGTGCAGGGCACCCAAAGGTCACTCAAACAGGGCTCAGGAAAGCCCAAAATTCTCCAGGGGGCTTTCTTGGTATCTGCACCAAAATGTCATCAATACAACGAGCTCCTCCATAGATGGTCTTTCTTCCTGGGGTTTAGCGGGAGGGGAAGGAAGAGGGCGGCAGAAAGAGGCAGCTATTGGAGGACAGGACTCACAGGCTCCCACTGTTGCTACTCAAGCCTGGAATCTCACCCTTAAGACTTCCTCTCCTTAGGAGAAGGTTTGGATCTCTTTTAAGAATGGCAACAGTAACATCGAAGTTGTTATCATACACTCGCACCTCAAGGTGAATGAGTGTTGGGACCTCTGAGGGGACGCTGGGTGGGAGAAGGAGCACCATCCATGGGATCAGGAGATACAGGTGTGGTAGGAAGAGGCCATAGAGTACACTAACGTCTACACTGACTTGCTCCACTTACAGGCTGATCCCTTTATTCAGGTAACTCTGATAGACCACAGAGAGGCTTTAAAGAAAACATCCAAGGAATCTGAGTTATACTTTCGCTTTTGGATACAAATCCCAAAGCACTTTGGAAATGATAACTGATCTGTATTTATAGAAGTCCTTTGAGAATTAAAGCAGGATTTAAAAAATAGCAGCTTTATTGAGATATAATTTGTATAGCACGTAATTCACTTGTTTAAAGTAGCTTTTCACTTTCCATTGTTGTTAGTATCATCACAGAGTTACGCAACCATCACCACCACCATCGATTTAGAACATTTCACTGTTCCGAAAAGGAACCTCATACCCATTCACGGAGTCTCCATCTCCCCTCCAACCCTTCCAGCCCCAGGCAACCACTAATCTACTTTCTGTCTCCGAATTTGCCTATTCTGCATATTTGATAAAAATGAAATCATACTATATGTGGTCTTTTGTGACTGGTTTACTGAACGTTTTCAAGGTTCATCCACGTTGTAGCATGTATCAATACTATATCCCCTTTTATTGCCAAATAATATTCTTGTAGGAAATCGTTATAGGAAATCAATTGACTGTATATGTGAGAGTTTATTTTTGCACTCTCAGTTCTATTGATCTATATGTCTATACTTATGCCAGTACCACACAGTGTTGATTACTATAGCTTTGTAGTAATCAAAGCCTTGAGGTAAGCTTTGAAATAAGAACACATGTGTCCTCCAACTTTGTTCTTCTGGTTATTCCGTGTCCCTTACATTTTTATATGAATTTTAGGATCAGCGTGTCAATTTCTGCAAATAATCCAATTGGAATTTGATACAGATTGCATTAAATCTGAAGATCAATTTGGGGAGTACTGCCATCTTAACAATATTAAGTCTTCTAACTTGTCAACATAGTGTATCTTTCCATTGAATTAGGTCATCTTTAATTTCTTTCAACAATACTTTGTAGTTTTCAGAGTATAAGTTTTATGTTTCTTTGGTTAAATTTATTCCCAAATATTTTATTCTTTTGATGTTATTGTAAATGGAATTTTCTTCTTTTTCTTTTCTTTTCTTTTTTTTTTTGAGACGGAGTCTCACTTTGTCACCCAGGGTGGAGTGCAGCATCACCATCTTGGCTCACTGCAACCTCCGCCTCCCGGGTTCAAGCAATTCTCCTGCCTCAGCCTCCCAAGTAGCTGGGACTACAGGTACACGCCACCACACCCAGCAAAGTTTTTTTGTATTTTAGTAAAGACGGGGTTTCACCATGTTGCCCAGGCTGGTCTCGAACTCCTGAGCTCAGGCAATCCATCCGCCTCGGCCTCCCATAGTGCTAGGATTACAGGTGTGAGCAAGCCACCGTGCCCGGCCTTTTAAATGGAATTTTCTTAATTTCATCTGCAAATTGTTCATTGCAAGTAGAGAAATATGTTTATATATGTATATATTTTTGTGTGTGTGTGACAGAGTCTTGCTCTGTCACCCAGGCTGGAGTGTAGTGGCACCATCTCAGCTCACTGCAACCTCTGCCTCCCAGGTTCAAGAGATTATCCTGCCTCAGCCTCCCGAGTAGCTGGTATTACAGTTGCGTGCCACCATGCCCGGCTAATTTTTAAATTTTTTATAGAGATGGGGCCTCGCCATGTTGGCTATGCTGGTCTTGAACTCCTGACCTCAAGTGATCCACCCGCCTCGGCCTCCCAAAGTCCTGGGATTACAGGCATGAGCCACTGCGTCTGGCTGAGAAATATATTTGATTTTTGAATATTAATCTTGTATCTTGTAACCTTGCTTAACTCATTAGATCCAATAGTTTTTGGTTTTGTCTCTGTTTTAGATTTCTTAGGATATTTTATATGTCATCTGCAAACAGATAGAGTTTTACCTCTTCTTTTCTAGGATTATTTTTCAATACTGACCAGAGATCTGAAAAGATTAAGAAGCCTTTGCAAAAATAATATGAGATCATAAGGAAGCTCTGAGTTTCCTCTTTTCTGAAAAATCATGCTTCCTTGGTTTTTACTATGGGGCACTAAACTCACTTTAACAGAAATAGAACAGATTTGAATGCACCATAGAAAATGGAGCTTCTTCCGAGAATGTCTATGAAACCAGTTAACCTCTAACCTTATTCTTTGGTACTTTAAATGAATGTTAAGTTCAGTGGCTTTAATTGAAAGCTGTGCTTTAATAAGTGAGTAGAACTTTATGGTCATGAATGTGGCATACATTTGAGCGGAAAGCCGTGGCTGAAGCAATACTCACCTGTGTGCAGCATCCTCTCTTTTCAAGTTCTGACTCTGAAGGTGAGCGCATCTCTTTTTGTTTTTAAATTTCTAGAATAGGCCAGGCGCGGTGGCTCACGCCTGTAATCCCAGCACTTTGGGAGGCCGAGGCAGGGGGATCACTAGGTCAGGAGATTGAGACCATCCTGGCCAACATGGTGAAACCCCTTCTCCAGTAAAAATACAAAAATTAGCCGGGCATGGTGGCACGTGCCTGTAATCCCAGCTACTCGGGAGGCTGAAGCAGGAGAATCACTTGCACCCGGGAGGCAGAGGTTGCAGTGAGCCCAGATTGCACTACTGCACTCCACTCTGGTGACATAGTGAGACTCCATCTCAAAAAAACAAAATTCTAATTAGTATTTTAACTAGATAAATATATTTACATTGTTCAAAATCCTAAAGGTGTAAAAGAATACACCACATAAAGTTTCCCTCCCACCTCTGTACCTCAGTTTCCCTCCCCAGTAGCAACTAGTAAAAACCATGTATTATGTAATTTTACAGATAATATATACATATACAAGCAAATACTTAATAACTGTGGTAAGCAGAAGAGTGGCTTCCAAAGGTGTCCACGCCCTAACCTTGTGAATGTTACTTTGCATGGGAAAAGGGCTTTTGCAAATGTGATCGAAGTTATGAGCCTTGAGATGGCCAGATTAGCCTTGATTATCCAGGGGAACTCAATCTAATCACATAAATCCTTAAAAGCAGAGAATCTTTCCCAGCTGTGATAAGAGAGAGAGGTTTGATGATGGCATAAGAGTCAGAGAGATGCAATGTGAGAAGGATCTGACTTCCTTTTGCTGGCTTTGAAAATAGAGGAAGCCTCAAGCCAAGGAATGTAGGCGGCCTGTAGAACTTGGAAAAGGCAAGGAAACTGATCCTCCCCTAGAGCTCCCAGAGGGAAACACAGCCAACACTTTGAGTTCAGCCCAGTGAGACCTGTCAGACTTCTGACTTACACAACTGCAAGATAATAAATCTGTGCTGTTTGAAGCTTGTGCTAATTTATTATAGCAGCAACAGAAAACCAACGTAATAAACATTTTCTCCATTTTTACACAAAAGGTGCCTTAATAGATACACTATTTTGTACCTGACTCTTTTGTCATTAAATATTAGAAATCACTGCATACCACTCTTTTGAAAGAGGAAGTAAAATTCCATTGTCTGGATATGCCATCGTTTACTCACCCAGCCCCCTACTAATGCTCACATAGGCTGTTTCCTATCTTGTATTATTACAAACGGTACTGTAATGAATAACTTTACACATACATCATTTCTTATATCAGGAGGATGCATTCCCAGAAGTGAAATTGCTGGGCCAAAGAGTATAATATGTATTTTTAGCTTTGCTAGATATTGCCAAACTGCCCTCCGCAGAGGTTGTAAACTGGTATGGTCTCCCTGCAACGCGTGCCAGGCAGCCTAGGAGGGCCTGGTTCCCTCGACCTTCCCCACACAGTGGCAGCTTCCTTTAAAGCTAACTGTATACACCTGAAGTCTGGACTGAGCGCAGGCCCCTAGAGAAAGCATGATACAGACCTTTCAAATCCCCACCACCTCTCCAAAGCCTTGATGACTAAATCCCTCCTCAGGGTCAGATGAGGAAAGTTCCGTGCGCTCTGGAGTCCTAGCTCCCCACAGCGAACACATCTGACTTTGCACAGGATTCAAAGATGACTTGTAGAATTGTGCACTGTTTCAGATGAAAGGTATTTCCCATCATCCCCTTTTTTTACAGAGTCTAGAATGTCACAGCGATTTTGGCTGAAGTGGGCCCTGAGAAGAGCCCTTTACTCAGCATTCACCCCCTGCCCGCACATCCCATCCTAGTCACAGATTCTCATTGCAATCAATCTCTTGCCCAGTTGCCACTGGGAACAATGAGGCCCATTTTGTCTGGCTTCCCCAGGACAGGGCTCTGCGTCTGCACGACAATGGGGAAGAAGTTGCAGGTCCCCAGAGAACCACAGGGTTTTGCTCTGCTTGTTGTCTCTGCAGTATCTCGGAAGATGGTACGAAATTGAGAAGATCCCAACAACCTTTGAGAATGGACGCTGCATCCAGGCCAACTACTCACTAATGGAAAACGGAAAGATCAAAGTGTTAAACCAGGAGTTGAGGTGAGTGGCTGTGGGCGTCCGGGGCCAGGCCTGCGGAGTGCTGATGCAGAGTGACTGGGTGTCCGGCAGCCTGGGTCAGGGAGGATGGGAACCTTGCTGGATCGGGACTGCCTGCTCCTAGCAGGAATTGAGAGGAAAGCGTTTGGCAGGCAAGGATGGCAAGGACTAGGATCCACTTATGCATTTCCATGACCACCTGCGGGGCACAAACTGACAGGGTTCCTGCACTCACTGCAAAATAGATACTCTGGTAGCAAAGAACATCAAGACCATCTCTTCTGACCTCCAGTCTGGGAGAGAAGCCGCTTCGACACCATCTGCTGACAGAAGCATCCAGCTTTGTTCAAACACTTCCAGGAACTGGGAGCTCATCGCCTTCCAGGACAGTTCATCCCATCTCTGGGCAGCTTAATCTATCAGAAAGCTCCTTTTCTTATTAAGCAAGAATCACATACACAACATTCACACTCTAGGTTATGTAAACAGGATATCCTTTAGAAGTGTACATTTCTATTACTGAGGGCTTCTAACACAATAATTAATCCAAAAAGCTACGCTTTGGAAAGCAACTATAAACTTAAAAAGAGCCCCAGGAAGAGCTCCTTCCTACCCACCTTCCACTCTTGAAAATACAAATGCAGTTTTTCCATGAACATGTTGTGACTTCATGGTCAGAGACTGGTGTCCTGAAAACCGTTCTAGAGCAAAATGCAATTGACGGTGAAAAGGGCAGAATCTGCTGGGAGGAGACTGGTTTGTTGCTAAGTTAACGTATGCAGATAGAAACAGACCATCTTCCCCAGCTGTCTGAGATCCAGATGAGAGAGGAGGGCACGGTCTCCAGCTTTACATGGTGATAAACAGAGAAAGTACTTGGGAACATCAGAGCACAGTTCCCAGAATCCCTGGCCTGTTGCTCATTGTCCTGTTTCTAGGACATCCGTCACCACTAACCATAGCATTAACCTACTGACTTTCTTTTTTTTTTTTAATTGTATTTTAGTAGAGACGGGGTTTCACTGTGTTGGCCAGGCTGGTCTTGATCTCCTGACCTTGTGATCCGCCCCCCCTTGGCCTCCCAAAGTGCTGGGATTACAGGCGTGAGCCACCACGCCCGGCCAACCTACTGACTTTCTAACACATACGACTGCTCTAATTTCAGTTGGCCTCCCTGCTCTGCCTTGAGGATTGATAAACAGACATCCTCTCCTCTGTTGGCTTCCTAGGAAGAGCACCCTGATGCCTTAGCACCCTCCCTTTGGTGCCTCCATCTCCACACCTTTCCCCTTCTCCCAAGTTCATGGGGCCATTGGGAGTCATCTAGAAAGCAGGCTCATTCAAAGAGGTGAAAGTATTGCATCCAATCTAAGCCCCCAGCTTTTAAGACACACCACTGCGTTATATGCCACTAAGAAAGGAATGACACTGCTAATTGTCAGGTGACATCAATTGTGAGATATGCATTTCTTCACATTTAATGTCTCTGAAATCTGGGCATACCTGAGAATCACTGAGATAAAGTAAATGTTTCTTCACTGCCTCCTTTTACTTGGCCTACATTGAAATCCCCCACACTCACTCAGAGGCTTGCTGAACTAGAGGGAGTCTCTGGACTCAGGCCCCTTGATGGGACAGGCGATGTCACATGATATCACTGAGGCCCAAAGAAGGGGAACGCTTTTATGTCTCCTTGTTTTGAATTATTTTCAGTGATCAAGTCCATCCTCATCTGTACCTTTGGCCCTTCTCGTTTTAAAAAGAAGTGAATCTGCCAGGCACGGCGGCTCACGCCTGTAATCCCAGCACTTTGGGAGGCTGAGGCAGGTAGATTGCCTGAGGTCAGGAGTTTGAGACCAGCCTGGCTAACATGGTGAAACCCCGTCTCTACTAAAGATACAAAAAATTAGCCAGGCGTGGTGGTGCATGCCTGTAATCTCAGCTCCTGGGGAGGCTGAGGGAGGAGAATTGCTTGAACCGGGGAGGCAGAGGTTGCAGTAAGCCGAGATCGCACCACTGCACTCCAGCCTGGGGGACAGAGCAAGACTCCATCTCCAAAAAAAAAAAAAAGTGAATCTTCTTTGTGTGTTGGGTTGTTTTGTTTGTTTTTCCATTCTCTTTTCTCCCTTTCTTTGGAGACTGGGAGCAGGAATTGGTCTTTCAGGCCATAGAAGATAGTCAGAGATAGTGTTGAAGTGCAAGGGCCTAACATACTGTCCCATCCTGGAGCTTGTCAATTGCGGCTTCTTATCACCCCGCTGCTCTCTTCCCCTGCTTGGCCTCAGAGACAGTCACAAGGGAAAGGCCAGGCCATGGAGCTAGGGTCTAGCCTGCCTTTGAGAGCCTCTCTTACCAGAAATCACGGTGTTGGCTGCCACGGTCCTTAGTGGCACAAATCTTGCCTTTCGTTGCTTATTGGCTTTCAATGAGTTGTTTTTCTTTTCTCTTTTCGTTTTTTGTATTTTTTCTTTTTTTAACTCACTGCAGAGCTGATGGAACTGTGAATCAAATCGAAGGTGAAGCCACCCCAGTTAACCTCACAGAGCCTGCCAAGCTGGAAGTTAAGTTTTCCTGGTGTAAGTATCCACTTTTCCCAGGAGGATTCAGGGACAGGAAATATGCAAACTGAAGGCTAGCGCCCCGGCTTGGAGAATTCCTGAGACACCTGAGTGTCATCTATAATCACTCAGCACATAATTATCTGTCAAACACTTACTACATGTCACGCACTAGGGTTGCCATGATGAGCCGGACAGAGCTGGCCTTGGTACTTATGGAGCTCACATCCCAGTGTGGATACTGACACGTGACCCCGCAATTTACTATAACTAGCTAGCGTTTCAACAGGTGAAACACAAGTAGGTGCACACCGGGTGTGGGCTGCAGAAGACACAACCCAGTCTTGTTTCCCAAAGGAAACTGGGGCCCGAAACATTAGCAGATATTAGCAGAACAACCTGCACGGCGCAGAAACTAGGAAGCAAGAGATGACAAGAGTGACGGCAAGTTTGAATCCTGCTTCTGCCACTTTCCAGTCACATTGTTGGGGATCCTGTGAGATACCTAATGACAGGCATTTGCCTCTGGGTTCTGAGCTAACTGAGGAAGGGACACAGGCAATAGAGAAAGCACCAAATATTAGTTTTATTTCCGACGAAGATACACTAGAGAGTTCAACCCAGAACTGTGAGGCTTTCTAACACGAAGAGTGCTTGAAAGCCCCTTTCCCACCTGCAGGGTAGACACTGAAGTCATCAGCTACAAAAGTTACTCCCTGCACTTCCTACTTCTCATCTCTGCCACTCCTCCACCCCACACCAGTCAAGTGCCTAGAGCGGGGAGGAGAGGAAGTTCTAATTTTATAGACCAAGAAAGGAATGCTGGGAGGAGAAAACAGTTCTTCTCACACTATGAATATGGACAACTAACTTCACATGTACAAGCCAGAAATAACTGCCCAGTGTCGTGAAAATAAACCAGATACACACGCTCTGTAAACTGTAAAGGGCTTTATACACAGTTTCTCTTGTTATTTTTATCAAGAAGGGAGCTAAAGTGCAGGTGGGCTGAGTGACGCAGGCCATCACTGAACTCATTAGAAGTAGAGTTGGGACCTAAACCTAGGTCTCCAAACTCTCAACTGAGTATTTTTCCCATAGGGATCAGGGACGGGGATTGGAGTGAAAGCTAACTATTACATGCATAACAAGGATTAGATGTTTGCGTTAGGCCTTGTAGGATTATGGGAGATTATGGAAAAGGATTTCCAAGTGAAGGGAACTGGAACATAGAAGAAGGCCTGAATACAGGCATATCACGAAGTCAGGAGTTCAAGACCAGCCTGGCCGACATGGTGAAACCCTGTCTCTACTAAAGATACAAAAAATTAGCTGGGCATGGTGGCGTGTGCCTGTAATCCCAGCTACTCAGGATGCTGAGGCAGGAGAATCGCTTGAACCCAGGAGGTGGAGGTTGCAGTGAGCTGAGATCGCGCCATTGCACTCCAGCCTGGGCGACAAGAGTGAAACTCCATCTCAAAAAAAAAAAAAAAAAAAAAAAAAAAAAACGAAGAAGAAGAAGGCCTGAATAAAGAGGCCTAGAGCCTGGGAGTGTACATGAAGAGGGGCATGAGGTTAGGAAGGGCCTTGAATGCCACATTAAAAGGCTTGAAGTTTCTTCCATAAACAATAGGAGACTGTCAAAGTTTTCAAATAAGGAGAGACATGTGAAGTTTTCTGTATTGTATCTGGGTAAATTTATTCTTCGGAACTGGACCACGAGAGGAAGGCAGAATGTGCCAGCCTGGGTGAGTGCAGGTGGGCCATGATGCCGCTGCTGGCAGAGGTGGGAGACAGATTTTTGCAAAATCACTCTGGGCTTAAGAGTTCTCAGTCCACCTGGGAATACACAGAGCAGCTGAAATGTGCAGATGGGTGATGACTATAACGCTGTCTCTCTCTCTCTCTCTGTCTCTCTCTCTGGGTGAGTGAGGCAGGCAGGCAGGCAGGGCACCAACAGTGCTAGAAAGGGTAAGTCAGAAACACTCAGTCTAGGCTTTCGTCCAAACTTCTTTCCAGGGTCTTTCTGTTTCTGGATTGATAAACAAAATCAGAGGTGGGGGGCTTGGTGGGTGGTTGTCTGGGCCAGCCTTCTTGTGTTGTCCTGAGATTTCTCTTGCCCTCTCCCTCCAATAATGCTGCCTCTCTCTGGTTCTCAGTTATGCCATCGGCACCGTACTGGATCCTGGCCACCGACTATGAGAACTATGCCCTCGTGTATTCCTGTACCTGCATCATCCAACTTTTTCACGTGGATTTTGCTTGGATCTTGGCAAGAAACCCTAATCTCCCTCCAGAAACAGTGGACTCTCTAAAAAATATCCTGACTTCTAATAACATTGATGTCAAGAAAATGACGGTCACAGACCAGGTGAACTGCCCCAAGCTCTCGTAACCAGGTTCTACAGGGAGGCTGCACCCACTCCATGTTACTTCTGCTTCGCTTTCCCCTACCCCCCCCCCATAAAGACAAACCAATCAACCACGACAAAGGAAGTTGACCTGAACATGTAACCATGCCCTACCCTGTTACCTTGCTAGCTGCAAAATAAACTTGTTGCTGACCTGCTGTGCTCGCAGTAGATTCCAAGTTGGATTAATTATTGTGGGTTTTTCATTATAAGCTTATGCTTAGAAATCCTTAAACAGGCTGGTTGTGGTGCCTCATGCCTGTAATCCCAGCACTTTGGGAGGCTGAGGCAGGAGGATCACCTGAGGCCGGGAGTTCAAGACCAGTCTGGGCAACATAGCAAGACCTCATCTCTACAAAAATGTTTTTAAAATTAGCTGGGTATGGTGGTGCACACCCGTGCTAGCTACTCAGGAGGTGGTGGCAGGAGGATGACTTGAGCCCAAGAATTCGAGGGTACAGTGAGCTATGATGGCACCACTGCACTCCAGCCTGGGCAACAGAGCAAGACCCTGCCTCTAAAAAGAAAAACAGAAAAAAAAATCCTTAAGCAGTTATGTTGAAAAAAACCAAGCACTGAATTGTCCTCATTTAAAGGTAACAATCCTGTTTCTGGAGTGGGGGAAGCTGATGGCAAAGGCGTATTCTGGGTGACCTGAATCCAGATGCCCCCGTTCTGGAGTAGATGCTGCTTTCAGGGTGAATTACTTGGGCGTTCGGAGTCCCTGTGGGGCAGTTTCTTTGAAGTGTTTACTTTCTCCTCGGGTCTTCAGAGCCAGGCTGAAGAATGAACCCATCTAGGGGTTTATGTAAGGAAGAGGAGAATCTATGAGGAAGAACATAGGGAGTTTCTTTTAAGGAAAAAAATACATATATATATGTTGTCTTTCATTCAACTGATATTTACGGAAGCCCAATCGCATTCCAGGCATTGAAAAATACAGAATCCCTGTCCTCCCACAGAAGCTCACAGTCTAGTGAGGGAGAAACAAATAAAGATGCCGTTATAATCCAAGGTGAAGAATGCAAAGGCAGAGGCACACAGAGGGTGCCAGGGAGCTCCAGGAAAGTCCCAACCCCTGCCAGACACAGGTGGGCAGTAGGGTTGTGCAGCTACACCTATGAGCACTCCAATTTCCCAGGACCAACAGGTCTCAAGAACGTCTTTGTGGCCGGGCGCGGTGGCTCATGCCTGTAATACCAGCACTTTGGGAGGCCAAGGCGGGTGGATCACCTGAGGTCAGGAGTTCAAGACCAGCCTGCCCAACATGGTGAAACCCTGTCTCAACTAAAAATACAAAACTTAGCCAGGTGTGGTGGCGGGCGCCTTTAGTCCCAGCTACTCAGAAGGCCGAGGCAGGAGAATCGCTTGAACCCGGGAGGCGGAGGTTGCAGTGAGCCGAGATTGCGCCACTGCACTCCAGCATGGATGACAGAGCGAGACTCCATTTCAAAAACAAAAAAAACCTCCTTGAGTTTGTTTTTTAACATTGTGACTTGTAAAACCAGAAAGACCTCAGAATGATCGCCCTGTAATTTAACTTAGCTCACATAACTGACAATTTACTAATGTTTTGGGAAATGAATAGAAAATTCAGCCATTTCATTAGATTTTTGCTTTCTTAGCATGAATATGAAATGTTCATTTTCTGGAGCACTCGAGTCTCTTTGATGCTTTAATGATTACAAAAATCCCAAGGATTTTAATATATACAATTTTCATTTAACTAAATAAATACGACCTCAGAATATAGCTTCCAATTCTAAATCCCAAAAGGCTGAAAGCCGTTAGCAAAAAGGCAGTGAGGAGGAGGTGGGCATGGAGGGAGGAGGGCCTCTCCTGGGCTCTGCCTGCGGCCACACCCTACACTCTGACACACTGGCCCCACCGCCCCCCGCCAGAGGGCATTTGGCTCCTCTGCTGAAAGACAGTTATTCCTGAGTGTTGCTCTGGGGAGCTGGCTTTTATCTCAGGCTACAAAATAAGTTGTGATTTCGTTCCTCTTCATAGCTGTCTAGTAACATCTAAAACAATGAATGTCACTATATTTTGCAACATTTTTCATGTCTTGACCAACACATAGGTTCATTTTTTTTTATGTGAATGAATTACTGAATAGGTAGATAGACAAATGGACTGGAGTTTTTGGTAAGGAAGGAAAAGGAATTTATGAGGCAGGTGTCAGGGGTAACCGAACCTGAGAAAAATTTGGGGGAATCACAGGGCAGTATGTGAGTACCAAATGTCTAGAGGAAACATGGGGACTAACAACAAAAAAATCCAGAGGGGAGAGAAAGAGAAAGGAAGTAGGACATAAACCACAAAACAGAGGCAAAGTGTATCATAAATCTCACGCACCCATCATCAGCTCCAGCAGTATATATAAAATATAAAATCATCTTAAATTCCAGAGAGATTACATTCTCTGAGCACCTCCAGGACAGAAAACATAACCTTGCAATTTTTTGTTGTTGTTTAAAAAGTGTATTTGCTAGAGATTTCATCAATCTTGCTTCAGCTTTCAGCACCCCCTAACTTTTTTCCTAAAGTGCTTTGAAGCAGATCCCACGTATCACATCCTATTATTTTGCCCATAGCGACTTCAGTAGAAATCTCTAGCAAATACAGACCCTTTTTAGACAACAAGAAAAAATTGCAAGGTTATGTTTTCTGTTCTGGAGGTGCTCAGAGAATGTAATCTATGGAATTTAAAGATTATTTTATATAATCTGGAAGATGAAAAGGAAGAAGTATGCCCAAAAATGTTCATAGTTTTATTGTAGCCGTCCCCAAGCTGAAAGGGGCGATAAACTAAAGCTAACAGCAGAGGAAGGGTCATAAATCATGAAACAGCCACTTGATGTGATGTCATGTGTTCATGAACATTTGTAGTTGTAAGAACTACGAAGCCACACTCACTGCCGGGGGAGGTAGGGGGGTCCCAGCGCACGGCCTCACTGCCCTGCAGAGCTAGAATCTAAAGCATGTGGCTCTACCTCCCCAGCCACCCCTGATTGGACCAATATGTGTCCACCTGAGCTAGCAACAGCCAATCCACAGGCTGAACAGAAACCTCTGACTTCTATGGCCTCGCTGGATGGAAATGATAAACTGAGACAATCAAATAAGAGTTTGACTTTAAGCAGTCTGGAAAGAGGATCATTGAAAGCTCTGGTACTGCAAGGTCATGTGGCTTGTAGTGGCCACTACCGGCCATGCACTACTGAAGTGATGTGTGCGGAACAGAAACGCAGGGTAAGCAGAGATCCCCCCGCCCACCCAAGGCCCCCGACAGCAGCTTCAGTAGCTGTTGGCTCTCCCTGCCCTAGCACCAATTCCTGGGGAGCTTAGCCAGCTTAGGCGCCTGTCCTTGGTTTCTCTAAGATTAGGCACGTACACACAACTATTTTCTGAGACAATTTAACTTGACTGAGTAAATCTTCCTTGCAACCAGAATAGTCCTCAGACAAAAGCGTTCACAATATAATGTTGAGTGAAAGAATGCTGCATTTTAACTATGCTGTATTTATAGCCTCATGAAATGATGGCATAAAATTAAGAACTAAAAGTGAACAGAGGAAATGAAGGCAATTAATGTGTTAGCGTGGTGGAATTATGGGTAATTTCTCCCCCTCTTATAGTTTTGCGGCTGCTACTTACAGTGGAGGCCCTAAAACTTCAGACCGTAAAACCTCCTTCTAGTTCAGCCTGACCCTCTCGTAAGTCAGGTGTCCAAAGAAATAGGCTTCTTCTTCCAGCAACTACCTCAGACTTTGAGACCTTTCTGGACTATTATCCTATCCCACCACATCCACGGAACAGCTGAGATGTACTAGTTTGTGAATATAGGATGTGTTGTAGTTTAAAATTTCTCTATTAAAGTGATCTTTATTTACTACCAAAAAGGTTCTCTATACACTTTTCTAGGAGACATTAAGAAAGATATCAAGTAATTTAGAAAGTTTTTATTTTTATTTTTATTTATTTTATTCACTTATTTATTTATTTTTTTGAGACGGAGTTTCACTCTTGTTAAGCCCAGGCTGGAGTGCAGCGGCGTGATCTCGGCTCACTGCAACCTCCGCCTCCCGGGTTCAAGCGATTCTCCTGCTTCAGCATCCGGAGTAGCTGGGATTACAGGCGTGCGCTACCATGCCCAGCTAATTTTTGTATTTTTAGTAGAGACGGGGTTTCACCATGTTGGCCAGGCTGATCTCGAACTCCTGACCTCAGGTGACCCACCTGCCTCAGCCTCCCAAAGTGCTGGGATTACAGATGTGAGCCACTGTGCTTGGCTGAAAGTTTTTATTTTTGTAGTTGTCTAAACATTGTTTTATTTTATAACAGGTTTCCACCCCAAAAGCAATCATTTTCACCTTGGTAGTGAGAAACTACTACAATTTTTTATATTTGTTAAATATGGTCAACTTTCATGCTACAATCAATGTTTCGAGTAAACACAACATTCAAATAGACTCAAGAGTTCCCTAACACTTCCAGCAGAATAAGGCGATCTGAACTAATCATTGGATAATGCTAAGGAGCAGTGTGGTGGGAGGTACTGAGAGTGGGCCCAGCGCTAGCCCTGACCCCACTCATTAGCCACTCACTCCACCAGATCTCTCTAACAACTCTTCTAGGTCAAACATTTAGTCTTATAGTTTTGTATATGACAAATAAGGTGAGATTTTGCTGACAAAGAGGGAGTCTTATATCATTTTTAGGGACAATAAGCCACAGACTTATTTATAAGACCAACCCTGTAGATTGTTTTGTGTCTTTCTAAACCTTACCAATGTATATGTTATTTTGCAGTCAAATGTTCTACCCCCAAGCTATGCCCCCACTTAATTATTTTGATGTATATCTGGTTCCTTGGGGATATGTATATTTTACTCATATTCCATATTATAGTCTATAAATGCAAGAAAGTACTGTATTTTATTCCCCGGAGTTTTCCTAGTATGCTAATTATAATTAAAATATTAAAAAGCCAACCTTCAGCATCTTCAGTACACCCAGAGATCCAGGAGGAACAACAGCTCATTGCATTATAAAGTGACTCTCTCAGTGAACAAGGTTGGAAGACTTGAGAAAAGAGCTATCAAAGCTGAGCGTAATACATGTGGTTAAACTCTACCCCAGAGCTCTTGGTCTACGGGTGCTGTAGCCCTAATGCTGCCTCTGGGTATCTGTAGAGGGGAAGGTGCTCAGCTTCTGCTTAGAGACTCTCTGTGACCCCTGATTGACATGCATCCTCCTGGCTGGGTATCTCAGTCCTCGCCACCCAACTTGCCTGCCTCTTCTCCCGTGGCTCCTTCTCAGGCAGCCATTTTTGGTTTTCAACCAAAGCATGTCGCAATTACCCGGGGGGGAAATATATTGGTTCCTTGGGAAGACATCCCAGGATGGGGAGACAGAGGGCAAAAGGTTGCAAAACATTCTCCAGGGTGATTCAAACCTGCTTCCCTGACTTGACTGAGAACCACTGCTTTTTCAAAGAAAACTAATGACCACTTCCCATGCCTCCCCTGTCTGTACCTTTAGTACACATCACTCCTTTTGTTGAAATGTCCTGCTGCCAAAATCCAACCCACATCTGCTCTTTCGCAGAGCAATTTGGCAAAAACTAGTAAAGCTGAGGATGACCTAGTAATTCTCTTCTCTGGTAAATATCCTAGAAACACTTCTGCACATAAGCACAAGAAGATACATACGGAAATGTTCACTGCAGCACTGTTTGAAAGACAGAAAAACCAAAAACAACCTAAATGTTCATTAACAGAAGAACTGATTTAAAAATTGTGGGCTGGGTACAGTGGCTCACGCCTATAATCCCAGCACTTTGAGAGGCCGAGGTGGGCAGTTTACTTGAGGCCAGGAGTTTGAGACCAGCCTGGCCAACATGGTGAAACCCCGTCTCTACTAAAAATACAAAAATTAGCTGGGCATGGTGGCGCACACCTGTAATCCCAGCTACTTGGGAGGCTGAGGCACGAGAATCACTGGAATCTGGGAGGTGGAGTTTGCAGTGAGCCAAGATGGCGCCACTGCACTCCAGCCTGGGCGACAGAGGGAAACTCTGTCTCAAAAAAAAAAAATTGTAGCATGCACACATATGTGCAGGTACGCATACACACCATGGAATACTATGCTACAGAGAAAATTAGAGCTACATGTATCAACATATATAATCTATAAAATACGTTGGGCAAAAAGCAATATACAGGATACAGTATGAAATATATAAAACGACATTATTTCAGAATACATAAATATGCAATAAAGTAAAATGAAATGCAGGAAATAATAAACACCAAATTCAAGGTCCTGGTTCCCTCCGGAGAGTGGAGAGAGAGGGCGGCATTTCAGTAGAGGAACACCAGTGGCTTTCATTGCATGGGTAACTGCATTAGTTTCTGTGGCTGCTGTAGCAAATGACCACAAACTCAGTGGTTTAAAGCACCTGAAATGTATTCTCTCATAGTTCTGGAGGCCAGAAGTCCAAAATCAGTATCACTGGGCCGAAATGAAGGTGTGGGCAGGGCTGTGAAGGCTCTAGGGGAGAATCTGTTCCTTACCTCTTCCAACTTTTGGTATTTTGGTGGCTGCTGGCATTCCTTGGTTTGTGGCCACAACACTCCAATCTTCAAATCTGCTTGTCTTCACAGGGCCTGTGTGTGTGTGTGTGTGTGTGTGTGTGTGTGTGTTTGTGTGTGTGTCAAGTGTGAAATCTTCTGCCTGTCTCCAAAAGAATACATGTAATTACATTTAGGGCCCACCTGGATAATCCAGGATAATCTCCCTACTTCAAAAGTCTAACTCGGCTGTGTGCGGTGGCTCACGCCTGTAATCCCAGAACTTTAGGAGTCTGAGGCAGGTGGATCACTTGAGGTCAGAAGTTTGAGACCAGCCTGGCCAACATTGCGAAACCCCATCTCTACTAAAAATACAAAAATTAGCTGGGCTTGGTGGCACGCGCCTGTAATCCCAGCTACTCAGGAGGCTGAGGCAGGAGAATTGCTTGAACCCAGGAGGCGGAGGTTGCAGTGAGCCACTGCATCACTGCACCACTGCACTCCAGCCTGGGCATCAGAGTGAGACTCTGTCACAAAGGAAAAAAAAAAGCCTTAACTCAATCATATCTGCTATGACATTTTTTCCAAACTGAACATTTCCAGGCTTCAGAGATGAGGACCTGGTAGCTTTGGAAGAGCATTTTTCAGCCTATCACAGTAATATTTTCTTAAACTGAAAGGTAGGTAATAGAGGATATAATGGCTTCCCACTTGGGCCCAGCAGAATGACTCCTGCAAAAAGGGTAGCCAGAAAAAGGGGGGTCATTCTGCCATCAATGAGGCAGTGACCTGAGGATACACCATCAACATTCACAGGTGCATCCATGGAGTGGGCTTCAAGAAGAATACCCCTCAGGCACTCAAGAGAGATCCAGAAATCTGCCATGATGGAGATGGGGACTCCAGATGTACGCACTAATACTAGGCTCAACAAATGTCTGGGTGAAAGGAAGGGCCGTACCACATCCATGTTTATCGTGCAGAAAACATAATGAGGGTGAAGGTTCAGCAAACAAACTCTATACTTTGGTTTAACTATGTACCTGTGACCACTTTCAAACATCTATAGACAGTCAATGTGGGTGAGAGCCAACCACTGATTGTCAAATAAAGTGATAAAATCATACACACACAAATAGACATACAATCATGGCCCTTTACCTTTTTTTTGAGATGGGTTCTCATTCTATTGCCCAGGCTGGTGTGTAGTGGTGCGATCATAGCTCACTGCATCTTCTGCCTCCTGGGGTCAAGTGATTCTCCCACCTCGGTCTTCTGAGTAGCTGGGACCATAGATGTGTGCCACCATGCCCAGCTAATTTTTGAAGTTTTCTGTATTTCGCCATGTTGCCCAGGCTGGTCTTGAACTCCTGGGCTCCAGCAATCCACCTGCCTCGGCCTCCCAAAGTGCTGGGATTACAAGCATGAGCCATGGCGTCCAAACTTATGGCCCCTTACTTTGAATAACGGTTGTCTATGACTATATCTTAAGGCAGATACAGACTGTGATCCTTTCATAGAAAAAGAGATCTCCATACCCCTGAACCCAAAATAAAAGTTTTTTTTAAAAAGAAAAAGAGGTCTCCAGGAGGCTGAAGGGCAGTGTAATATGGGTAACTCAGTGGGAAGGTTAGAAGACTATGTGTCATGCTCTAGAGTGTATGAATTTGTCATTTCAGAGATGGAACAATTCTGGATAAAATGAGATCCAGGGCCTAACACCTATAACCTGATTTTGCCATTTTGAGATTTTTTGTGAGTCTTTTTTAATATGCTAAATTATGTTTCTAAACAGTGGTATCCTCCTCCAAACATTCACATTAGTGAGCGAGCTGAAGGTCAAAAATCAAAAAAAACCTTTCAGAACCAAGTGGATTGGATACTGAGTTCTAGCAGAATTCCAAGAATTGTGGACAGGTCAGTGGACAAAAATTCCCATCATATTACCTAGGCAGCCACCAGCTCCACCTGCTTTTATCCAAGCCTTCTGTTTCCCACCTCTCCCAGGCCAAGATTACTGCCAGTGCTCTATGAGTCAGCTGTGTCCCCAGGAAGTGACAAATGGGCTCAGGAGCTGGCATGGACAGCACTGGAGGAAGCAAATGGCCACTCCTCTGTCATCACAGTTCATTAAGTAGGTGTTTGTTCTTTGCCTGCAGCCTGGTCCCAGCAGGACTGGTGAGAGCTCATGTGTGCACCAGAGTCAGAGGACACCCTGTGTGCACCAGAGTCAGAGGACACCCTGTGTCCTTTCCCCCAAACCGGGGAGTGGTTGGGAACGACAATGACCAACCTTACGGGAAGATGCTATGAAAATCCACAAAACTGAAGCTGACATCTGTGGCATTTTGCTTCAGGGCATTTTGTCAACAAAGCATACTGTGCACTAGAAACAGTCTAGGTGGGTCATTTGCACCTGCAAATTACTAATACAAATAACATCTCAAGCTTGGCAGGCTTAGAGGCTGAGATTGTTGGCACTTCATCTGTCAAGTCTCAGCTCAGATGGCATCTCAGAGGCATCTGCCTAAAAGTGATTGCCCCAGTTACCTTCCATCCGGTCACACTTTTTATCTCTTTCTTACCATTTTTCATAATCTGCAATGATTTTGTATATGTATTTGCTTATGTATTTGTGGTCCATCTCTCCCACTGGAAGGTAGGCTCTCTGAAAAAAAAAAAAAAGATCCTGCTTTTTTGGTACCCTCTTATATCCTGAGACCTAGAACAGTTCCTGGCACATATTTAAGTACTCAATAAATATTTATTGAATAAATGAGTGGGTGAATGAACAAATGAATGTACAAATGCAGAGGCTGAATATAAATGTCCCAGGGCCCAGAAAGAATCAGTCACAGAAGGGAAAACAGGACCCAGATAAAAATGTCTTATATTCATGTGCCTCAACATATCTGGCTACAATTGCTTCCCAGTTTGCTATATCTGGCATGTTCCCACAACTTACACTGGAATATCATAGGCACATTCATTCATTTTCCAAATGGGGAGACTGAAGCCCAGCAAAATGAAATGACTTAAGTGAAACTATGTGGCTAGTTACACTTATAACTTGAACTTGGACCCTCTCTTCTATCAGAAAAATAACTTACTCATAGGATGATTGGGGTTTTTTACCTCATTTTGTTCATTTCCCCACAAACAAAACATATTCTATGAGAGAAGTGTTTTTGTCCCCATGAGACAAAAAAACATGGTATAAAGTCAGTGTTATATTTTGCAAGTCAATAACCACTACCTAGGGGATTCTATTCAAGGACTAATTATTAAGGAGGCAACTTTGGCCAGGCTTGGTAGGACTCACAGTAACAGAGATGAGTGAGATGAGGACATCCCGCTCCCAGGGCCACCAGGTACATGAGACCGTCAACATGAAAGTCCTGGACTCAGACCCTGGCTATTTTTAGCATGTGGGAGATATTGTTTCATATGGTTAAGGGGCAACTCTACCAGGAAGCAGGGAACTGAATGACTCCATGAGACACTCCCAGCTCCAGGGGGCCTTCTGGACAAGAACAGCACAGGCAGCAGGAAGAACAGGTGTTTTGAATAGACTCACTTCCCCTCCTCCCATGAGACTATGCTGCCTCCTTGTGATTGAAGAAGCAAATGCCGAATACAAGTACTTCATACATCAACTGAGAAACATTAAAATGTTCTTAATAAGCATGAAAGATTTACCTGCATCCAGTTCCCATATCCCCTTTATATGTTCTAGAAAGTGTACTCCAGCTCATTCATTCATCCTTTCCTTCTCCCTGAAAATGACATGTGTTCCGAAACCTGTTTTGAATTATAACAGAAAAGCACCACTGTCTGTTATTGAAAGGAGAAATAATTTTTTCATTTCGAACAAATAAAAGTCCTGAAGGATCATATCTTCTCCTAAGTAGGTTCATTGTCAACCAACAGCAAACAAATTACCCACAGTAAGCAGTAACTCTGTGAAAACGAGTGATTTATCAAAGAATAACCTTAGAGAATCTTTCCTAGTTCTCAAACCTCTTTGTTAACTAATATTATTCATTAACTATGTCTAGTATTGTGGTTTTTTGTTTTTTTTTTCCCTGAGATGGAGTCTTGCTCTGTCGCCCAGGCCGGAGTGCAGTGGCACCATCTCAGCTCACCGCAACCTCTGCCTCCCGGGTTCAAGCAACTCTTCTGCCTCAGCCTCCCAAGTAGCTGGGATTATAGGTGCCCACCACCACACCCAGCCAATTTTTGTATTTTTCGTAGAGATGGGGTTTCACCATGTCAGCGAGGCTGGTCTCGAACTCCTGAACTTGTGATCCACCTGCCTCAACCTCCCAAAGTGCTGGGATTACAGGCGTGAGCCACCGCACCCGGCCCTATGTCTAGTATCGTAGCAACCACTTCCACTACCATCTCATAGAAAAGCATCTCCTTGAAAATCATAAAAAGCAAATGATGGATGGCTTCCTAAGGGACAATTTTCCACACCAATAATGTTTAACAAAAAAACTGAAAAAAAAAAAAAAAGGACAAAGCAAAGCAACTTATAATGAAGAATAATTAGAATAATAAAAGAAAATTCAAAGGAAACTATTCAGGTAGTAAAGCAAGTCTCTAGAAACAGAATTCGTAGGACATCCCAGAAAATATTGCATACACGGCCACCAAATTCAATACCAGCAAGAAATAGTATGGTGGATTTCTGCCTGCGGGACAATGGTTGGTAACCTAAGCAAACCTATGTTTGCAGTTATCTCCTCTGAGGACTGGTTCAACTCATTGTTTGATTTATGCCTAAGAACTCTGACCCTCACATGTGCGCTCTGGCAGAAAGGCAGTTAGTTCTTGTCCTTGGAATTACTGCCTCCAAAGATAAATCCAATATGTCAGCTCAAAATCATTTACCTAAATTACCTCCTTGATTAACTGTTGGTTTGCCAGCCTGTCTCTCCCACTAGATGGTGACAGGAACCCTGTCTCATTCATCTTTGTATTCCTCACTTCTAGTACAGAGAAATGAAGTTACCAAAAATTGGTGTGGAGCCAGGCTTAAAAATCAATCCTCTTTTGAGTATTTCATTGTTCCTATCTTTTCGGCATTTTAAGGAAGTTTAAAAATATTTTTAAGGCCAGGCGCGGTGGCTCACGTCTGTAATCCCAGTACTTTGAATCACTTGAGGACAGGAGTTTGAGACCAGCCTGGGCAACATAAGGAGACTCCGTATCTGCAAAAAATAAAATGAGCCAGGTGTGGTGGTGTGCCTATAGTCCCAGGCACTCAGGGGGCTGCTGAGGTGAGAGGATCTCTCGAGCCTGGGGACTTGAGGCTGCAATGAGCCATGATTGCATCCCTGCACTCCAGCCTGGGCAACAGAGTGAGACTCTGTCTCAAGAAAAAAAAAAAAATTTTTTTTTTTTTTTTTTACCAAAAACACCTTAGGCTCCGTATTTCAAATTAGCTCGTAACAGATTCACAACATTTTATGAATGATGGTGTTGTTTAGTTCCCTTGGGGCTGTTACTATTCTGCTATTATTAATCAAGATCTCAAAAATCGCAAAATAATATATTGAATTCTGAAATATTAATTATAGAACCTATAAATTACAAATCCTGATTTGTACCAAACATTACAGGTGACTGCAAGCAAGTTGTCTCAAGCATTTACAGCTGGGATCCACCCAGAAACGATCATCGTTAAGAGTCTCCACGTGTCAGCTCAGCGTCTCATCCACAGCAGCGCCCCCAGCTGCCTGCTGATGGCTCCATCCCCAACTCAGTCTTCGTGGCTCCGCATCCATCGTAGTACAAACACTATGCCTTTGGAGAGGACTGCCTTAGAGTCCACAGCTAACGTCTATAGAAATCTAGCAATTCTATCAAGAAAAAGCAAAATTAAAATGCCAAAAATCAGGCAAAAAGAAAAGAAAAAAGCACAGGATACTCCCAATAGGTGCCAAAAGAGAAATGATTTAGGTACAGTGTGTTGGGGAGAACTGACCTGGAGCCTGCTGGAGTTGCTCAGAGTCTACAGGGAAAGATAAACAAGAAAACCAGCCATGTAGATGTGGAGATCAAATAAGACGAGAGGCTGTAATAGAGGGTAGAATGAGGGATTCTGGGAGAACAGAGGAGGGCCACCTGATGCTGCCCTGAAGAGGTGGAGAAGGCTTCATTCCAGAGCAAATCCTGAGCTGCGTTTGGAATAAACGAGCTGGAGGTAGTCAAAAATTGAAGGGGGAGGCCGGGCGCGGTGACTGATACCTGTAATCCCAGCACTTCGGGAGGCTGACGCGGGCAGATCACGAGGTCAGGAGTTTGCGACCAGCCTGGCCAACATGGTGAAACCCCGTCTCTACTAAAAATACAAAAATTAGCCGGGCATGGTGGTGTGCACCTATAATCCCAGCTACTCGGGAGGCTGAGGCAGAAGAATCGCTGGAACCCAGGAGGTGGAGGTTGCAGTGAGCTAAGATCGCGCCACTGCACTCCAGCCTGAGCGACAAAGCGAGACTCCATCTCAAAAAAAAAAAGAAAGAAAGAAAAGAAATAGAAGGGGGAGGAGGTGGTATCCCAGGCAGAGGAAAGACTGCCACCAAGTAGGAACTCAATTCTGTAGCACCTAGGGTCCGGGACCCTGCAGAGGAGAAGTAGAACAGGTGGCCAAAGGCCAGATCACTGACAGCTTTGTAAACCATGACATGGAGCTCAGATTACAATCTGAAGGTGAATTGATTCAAGGACTCAATTCTAGGAAACAATTTAACTTACATCTTAAAAATGAAATCCAAATACCAACTTGTTAATTCACGGTAGGAAAAAAGTCACTAAAGAACAAATCGAGGCTGGAGTTCTCTAAAAGCAAATGCTCTGTCTTCAGGTTGGCTACAGAGAATGCCAGGATCTGATGAGGAAGGGGCTGGTAAAGCCCAGGCAGCTGACTAAAGCAGAGTCATTCATGACGCTATGGGGATCCACCTACCTCCTGCCCTGGGAGGGGTACCGTCCGCAGCACTGAGTGATGGCTCTAGCAGCAGAGGGGAATGGAGAGGGGATGCACGGGCCTGACAGCAGGAGGACCTGTGAGATGGCCAGTGCTCCACTGTGTCATGACGAGGGCCTGAACTAGAAAGTGGAAGTAGAAAGGCGAAGGCAGATTTAGGAGATTTTTATTTTCTTCTTATTATTAGAGTTATAATCCAATCTTTATTTAAAAATCTAATCTGCCAGTTTAGTGTTTTCCACCAACTCGGGGAGCTGAAACTTCCACAGGCTTCACAATCTTTTGCTCAGGTGCTGCCTTTGTAGGTGCCGTAGCAGCAGCCCTTGCAGTCTTTTTAGATGCTTGCTTAGCCATTTTTTGCTTCCTTAGCAGCCCTGATAGCTTGTTCTCTTTGAGCCTTTCTAACTTCGGGTTTCTGATTCCTCTTGGCCATTATAGCAGCAAGAGATACACCGTAATGGTCTTCTGGAATTTGACTGCTCGGTGGGTTCTTTTCTTTTGAATTTACTCCGACTGCCCCTTTTTGTGCTTCCTTCTGTAGAGGACAGTCCAGTTTATCTGCGGAGGATTCCTCTTGGAAAGGAACGCCAACTTGCATTTTGAATTAAGAAACTGGAAAACCCTCCCGTCGGTCCTGGCGTGGCGCCTCCCGTGTCCGGGGTAGATCTTGTACCTGCTGAAACTGCACAGGTCAACCTTCATGGCAGCGGCTCCACGGGAAGAGAAATGATGGCAAAGAGAACTATTATTATTATTTTTTGAGATGGTGTTTAGTTTTGCTCTTGTCGCCCAGGCTGGAGTACTGAGGTGTGATCTCGGCTCACTGCAACCTCCACCGCCAGGTTCAAGAGATCCTCCCTACCTCAGCCTCTGGAGTAGCTGGGATTACAGGCACCCACCACCAGGCCAAGCTAACTTTTGATTTTGTTGTTGGTTTTGTTTGTTTGTTTGTTTGTTTGTTTTATGAGATGGAGTCTTGCTCTGTTGCCAGGCTGGAGTGCAGTGGCGCGATCTCGGCTCACTGCAACCTCCGCCTCCCAGGTTCAAGCGATTCTTCTGCCTCAGCCTCCAGAGTAGCTGAGACTACAGGTGTGCACCACCACACCCAGCTAATTTTTGCATTTTTTTTTTAGTAGGGATGGAGTTTCACCATGTTGGCCAGGATGGTCTCGATCTCTTGACCTCATGCTCCACCCGCCTCAGCCTCCCAAAGTGCTAGGATTACAGGCGTGAGCCACCACGCCCAGCCTAATTTTTGTATTTTTAGTAGAGATGGGGTTTCACCATGTAGGCCAGGCTGGTCTCGAACTCCTAACCTCAGGTGATCCACCCACCTCAGCCTCCCAAAGTGCTGGGAGTACAGGCATGGGCCACCACGCCCAGCCTAATTTTTGTATTTTTAGTAGAGATGGGGTTTCACCATGTTGGCCAGGCTGGTCTCGAACTCCTAACCTCAGGTGATCCACCCACCTCAGCCTCCCAAAGTGCTGGGATTACAGGCATGGGCCACCATGCCCAGCCTGATTTAGGAGATTTTTAGGAGGCAGAATCAAGTGATCTGAGGGATCAACTGCGTGTGGGAAGTGAGGGGGAAGTAGGGGTTTGAGATGACTGATTACTGTCAGCCAGAAAAGGGGAGTAAAGGAGTGCAGGCACGTTCGTGTGGGGAGACGATGAGATTCATGACTTGGCTCCTGCTAACTTGTAGGATTATCTTTTGCCACTACCGAGCATAGATCCTTTATGCCTGTCAGACTGAACACCTTGCAGTTTCCAAAGGTGTCACCCTCTCGGGCCCCAGTCTGTTTATATACATCATTCCAGACAACACAACACCATTCTCCCTGCCCTGCTGACTCCTGTTTACCAGCTCGCCGAGCCTGTCTGGCCAGCCTTCTCTGGTCCTTCCCCTGCTCTCCTGACTATCCCACTGTTATGGGTTGAACTGTGTCCCCCAAAAAGATATGTTGAGGTCCTAACTCCCAGTACCTGGGAATGTGACCTTATTTGGAAATAGGGTCTTTGCATATTGAATTAAGATGAGCTCATTAGGGTAGGCCCTAATACAATACGACTAATATCCTCATAAGAAAAGGAAGATACCACATGAAGACAGAAACACATGGGAGAACACAGGCCGACAGCAGAGACTGGAGTGATGCAGCAGAGAGCAGGGAGCACTGAGGATCGCTGACCAGGACTGGAAGCTAGGAGAAGGCAGGAAAAGATCCTACCTGGAGTCTCAGAGGGAGGATGGCCCTGCTGACACCTTGATTTCAGATGTCTAGCCTCCAGAACTGTGGGAGAATATACATTTCTGTTGTTTTAAGCCACAGGAAACCAGTACATCATCATTTCCACGTGTCCATGTTTCTATGTTTGTAAACACTGTGTCCACTTAGGCATTTACCACCTAGTCTGGTCATTCTTTGTTTTATATTTCCTTATTAAACTATGAGCTTACATCTGGGTGCGGTGGCTCACGCCTGTAATCCCAGCACTTTGGGAGGCCAAGACGGGCAGATCACCTGAGGTCAGGAGTTTGAGACCAGCCTGGCCAACATGGTGAAACCCCGTCTCTACTAAAAATACAAAAATGAGCTGGGCATGGTGGCATGCGCCTGTGATCCCAGCTACTCAGGAGGCTGAGACAGGAGAATCACTGGAACCTGGGAGGCAGAGTTTGTGGTGAGCCGAGATTACACCATTGCACTCCAGCGTGGGCGACAGAGCAAGACTCCATCTCAAAAAAAAAAAAAAAAAGGTTAGCTTACCTTTAAGGACAAGAATCATGTTTTATACATCTCTGGACATACAGCAAGTTGTCTGGCACAGTGAATGCTTAAGAAATATTTCTTAAATGAGAAAAAATATGGACCAAAGTTCTTGATGCCATTTAGAGATCAGCAAGAGCTTACTAGATGGCAGCCACTGGAAGGCACACACAGGGGGATGTCATTGACATGAGCCTCAAGAAATTTTTACCCTGGGCCATGGGTCAGAATGGAGGAAATGATGATAACAGCAGCAGCCGTCTTGGGAGTCAAGCAGAATCCTAACTCCTGCCCAGCGCTGGGCTCCATGGCACAGAACTGCCGGCCACTATTTGTGAGTTGCCTGGGACAGAAAACCCAGCCTTCTGTTAAGGTGAGGAGTGCAGGCAACATTCTGGGAAGGTATCTGGGGTCTCAGACAGGCTGATGTGACAGGCGGATGTGTACCAACACACAGCAGTTCTACTCTGTGCACGGCCACTCTTTTTTAAGTCTCCAGAATGTTCCCCATCTCGTGACCACCCCTGGGGCTCCCCAGTGAGCCCGAAAACTAAAGGGGTAACACCCGGTAGCAGAGGCTTCTCTGAATTACATGGAGCCATGCCTGCATGATAGCCATTTTCCTTCCTGCTTGGTTGGGGCCTGCCCACACCATTTTGGTTCTCAAATATCCTGAGTATCACCCTGCACATAAGCAGTTTGTGAGGAATGGAGGCTGGCATGCCCAGCAGGCAGGGCTGCCGAGGAGAAGCTACACGAGAGGCTGGAAGATGACAGTGGGGAAAGAGGCTGCACGTTCAGGGGCCCGAGGGTGACAGGGATGGGAGGCCTGGTGAGCAGACTGGCCTTGGGTGAGAAAGGACTTGTCCGCCATGCCATTATACTCCCTGAGAACTGGCTGGGCTTGCTTGGTTGGCTCCTAAAGCAGCTGTCCCAGGAGGGAAGGGCTTGGCCTAGTCCCAGAGCTGAAAAGATTGAAAGAAGAGTTCAGTACTTGTGAGGGGGAGGAAAAGACACTGTGCTTGGTTCTGCTTAGAGCTATTACAGCATTGACTTAATCGTATTTTATTTCTAATCCTTCAAGAAGCATACTGTCACATTTAATAAGCCTGCAGACTTGATTCACCAGAAGATTTTGTTCCTGCCCACTCTGTATAAATTTTCTTAATTTTTTTTTTTTTTCCAGACTGAGTCTCACTCTATTGCCAAGGCTGGAGGGCAGTGGCATGATCTCAGCTCACTGCAACCTCTGCCTCCTGGGTTCAAGCAATTCTCCAGCCTCAGCCTCCCAAGTAGCTGGGACTACAGGGGCGCGCCACTACGCCTGGCTAATTTTTCTATTTTTAGTAGAGACAGGGTTTCACCATGTTGCCAGGCTGGTCTCAAACTCCTGACTTCAGGTGATCCACCCACCTTGGCCTCCCAAAGTGTTGGGATTACAGGTGTGAGCAACCACATCCAGCAATTTTCTTAATTTCTCTGTCTCTCTATGGAGGGAGAGGAAACATGAAACAAAAGCAGTTAATGCTTTTATGCGTTCTCTTTGACCCTGCAGTCTTAGTTAATTTTTTCCAACTTGGCGGCATCTAGCAAGATCAAAGTGAGTTTCAGCTGTGGTCAGCCACAGAGCTCCACAGTCTTGCACTGCAGCCGTTCCTAGCACAGAGCCAAATGGGCTCTGTCTGGACTCTCTTCTGAAATGTAGCAAACGCAATTGCCTTTGACAAGCACAGCTGAGCAGCATATTTAAGAATGCCAGAATATTAGGGGTGGGAAAGACCTTCATAAAATTAAGATAAAATTTGTGTTGACTAGGGTCCAGTCTTGGACAGGGTTAAGCTTCCAAGTAGGTAAACCATGAATGACAGGCAGTTAGAAAGAATATTCTAGTTGGTACCTACAAGGTAACAGTATAGGTGCCACCCTAAAAAAAATGAAAATTTTAAAATCTAGAGATAAAGCTAGTTTTACTTTGGTTTTTATTTTTAATTCAATTCTGTTCAGGATGCTGATTAGAAAACCTCCATATATGAGAAACAGTGAGAGGCAAACTCTTTTGTGCCGTAGAATGTTCTCGACATCAAAAAAGAGCACTGGAAGCCTTCAACATTTCCTGTTTATGTTGCACAGATCAGAGGTTCACACAGAAACCACCTGCCCACGTGGCCCCTGCTGCTGGTTTCCCAAG
This sequence comes from Homo sapiens, assembly GCF_000001405.40. NCBI lineage: Eukaryota > Metazoa > Chordata > Mammalia > Primates > Hominidae > Homo > Homo sapiens. The sequence continues at coordinate 195,550,349 of NC_000003.12, read as the reverse complement.
CCCCAGCTTTCCTCTGCAGTCCCCTCTTGCACTGCTTTCTTCTGATGAAGTCTGGCGAAGTCCTTGGGGGAGAAACCAACGAGACAGCAGTTTATCCTGTGAGAGCCTTGTGGTTCCTACTAAGGGATTCCCCCCACCTGCCTCAGCCACGGGAGCGCAAAGAGGGTCTTGAGTCCTGTCTAGAGAACCACTTGATAAAAACACCTGATAACACAGGTACACTTGATGAACACAGGAAGCTATGCCTTTGTGAAAACAGCAACAGCGTTCTCCTGGAGCCCAGAGCCAGAGCTGGGAGAGACACATGAAATGAGGGGTGGACTTGTGTGTGTATGTGCGTATCTAATAACAAACTTTGTTTTGTTTTGTTTTGTCTTGTTTGAGACAGAGTTTCACTCTTGTCACCCAGGCTGGAGTGCAATGGCGTGATCTCAGCTTGCTGCAACCTCCACCTCCCAGGTTCAAGGGATTCTCCTGCCTCAGCTTCCCGAGTAGCTGGGATTACAGATGCCTGCCACCATGCCTGGCTAATTTTTGTATCTTTAGTAGAGACAGGGTTTCACCATGTTGGCCAGACTGGTCTCGAACCCTTGACCTCAGGTGATCCACCTGCCTTGGCCTCCCAAAGTGCTAGGATTACAGGCATGAGCCACTGCACCCGGCCTAACAATGAACTTTTTAAAGAAAGGGTTCTGAACCTAAAATGAAAAGAGGAGGCCAGGCGTGGTGGCTCACACCTGTAATCCCAGCACTTTGGGAAGCCGAGGCGGGTGGATCACCTGAGGTGAGGAGTTCGAGACCAGCCTGGCCAACATGGTGAAACTCCATCTCTACTAAAAATACAAAAAATAGCTGGGCATGGTGGCATGTACCTATAATCCCAGCTATTTGGGAGGCTGAGGCAAGAGAATCTCTTGAACCCAGAAGGCAGAGTTTGTGGTGAGCCGAGATCACGTCACTGTACTCCAGCCTGGGTGACAGAGCGAGACTCCACCTCAAAAAAAAATTAAATTAAATTAAATTAAAATGAAAAGAGGAAATACAGTACCTGCTGTAGTTTATTTCTGCAATAAACTAAGCAATAGACAATACCTAGAAAAGGACCTGGCACATAACAGACCTCAATTAAGATTTCTGACTGGTGACAGGACAATTTCCTCTTTGTAATGCATTCTCTATTGACTCAGCAGTCTTTCTTATTTCTATTATTTCCTTTCCAGCATTATAGCTGCTAATGCCTTCCTTAGCCATGCAGAACAAGATATATAGTCAGATTGCTTTCCAAGAAATTGATGTTGTTATGGACACCATTATTGGGGAGGTCGAATTTAGGAACAGTTAACTCATTTATTCCCTGATTCAACTGTGAAAGGAAAATAAATCTTGGGACCCTAAACTCACTAAGCCAAAGGGGAAAAGTCCAGCTGGGAACTGGGTCTTGCAAACCTGCCTCCCATTTTGTTCCTAAATAGATAGCTACAAGATAATAAAGCTACAGACCTCCCTCACAATTTGCCCACAGGGTAATTCCTGTGGGCTCCCAGATCTTTACTCTAAAACAGTTCTGTTGAATCTCACCCTGGCAATGTATACTGATAGCTTATCTTTGCAGGTATGGGGCAAAGGACAGAAATCAAAGACATCCCTCTGCTTACCTGAGACAAAGGCATATCTGATTGCTTCCTCTGCCCTATGTTTATGTTATGTAAAAAATGCAGATTCATTGAATGTGTAAGTGACTGTACCTCTACCACCCTCTCACATGTAAATGGCTGATCAAAGACTCAAAAGAATGCAACTGCTTGCCTCTTATCCACCCACACCCTTTGTAAAAAAAAACTTTCTTTCTCTTTCTCCAATATTCATTCTTTTCCCTTTAAATATTGAGGTCCCCAGACCCTCTTTGGAAAAAGCATGGAGCACAGTTCTTCCTGTGGATCTGTGTTCTTTCCTGAGTGCATCCTTAACCTTGGCAAATAAACCCAAATCATCGAGACTCGCCTTGGTCATTTTCTTTGATTTACATAACCAACATGTATCGAGGGCCTCTTACGGCAGACACTGTATTCATTAAGTTATGCTGTCAGGGGAGAAAGAGGAGGAAGACATGCACCTGCTCCCAAAGAGGCCACAGCAGAGGGACGGACACTTAGACAATGATGATACAATGAGATAGAGGAATGCAAACAGCTCCTTAGGATCTCAGTGAAGGTGAACACTAACTCGGCCTGCGTGGAGTCGGAGAAGGAGATGACCTTTGAACTGGGGTAATTTAAAAGCAAGAATAGGGGATGGTATTTCACATAGATTAGTAAAGGCATGAAAAAGGGACAGAATATAGGTTGCTCTGACACCCTGAGAAGGGCAGTGTGACTAGTGTGAAGAACATAGCAGAAAGCAAGTGGATGTAAAAAGAGAAGGAGACTAGAAGAACAGACAGGGCTGGATTGTGAAGGCCCAAGGGATTTGGACTTCATCCTAGACAATGAGCAACCACGGCAGACTGAGTTCCTTGAGCAAAAAAAAAAAAAGAGGGGCAAGTTCTTTTTTTTTTTTTTTTTTTTTGAGATGGAGTCTTGCTCTGTCACCAGGCTGGAGTGCAGCGGCGCAATCTCACTGCAACCACTGCCTCCCGGGTTCAAGCGATTCTCCTGCCTCAGCCTCCCAAATAGCTGGGACTACAGGCGCGCGCCACCATGCCCAGCTAATTTTTGTATTTTTAGTAGAGACGGGGTTTCACCATGTTGGCCAGGATGGTCTCCATCTCTTGACCTCGTGATCTGCCCACCTTGGCCTCCCAAAGTGCTGGGATCACAGGCGGGAGCCACCGCGCCTGGCCAAGAAGGGCAAGTTCTAATTGTTTCCCCAAGCGTAACACTGTGTGTGGCAAAGTGGAGTTGAATTTATAAACTAAGGATCATTGCATATCCCAATTTAAAAAAAAATATGAGAACAGTATGAAGATGAATGGGCAGTGAAGAAAGCGGAGTCCTCAGACCAATCTGGAGACAACAAATAAAATAATAAAATTACGCATTTGAGACGTTTCAAACAAGAATGAGTGCTAACGAGCATAAATACAATAGTAAAGTAAAAAAGTCTTCCAATGGTGACTTTTGACTATGTAGGCTTCAAAATATATTTAGGGTTTTCCATGAAGCATTTATAGCAACATCACATATGTTCTGAATCAAAGCCTATACTCCTTATCCCATTATGAGTTCATAGAATAACAAAATGCAAGATAATTTGGCAAAATTGACACAATGAAATTATAATACACAACATTGCTCCCTTGCTTCTTGCAATAATAAACCAAACCAATTAACACTTACAGAAAATTTACAGTCACAAAAGACTGAGTGATTTCTGGCAGGCACAAGGTAAATTCATAGCTTAGCCAAAAAACTAACTCATATTTCCTACTTACCATTCCAAGGTTTGTTACACTGCGTGTCCTGCCTTCTTCTTTCGTTTTTGCCTCACAGGTTCTGAAAGAAGTAATTGCCTAGAGTCTCTGAATTTAACCAGTTTTTAAAAGGATCAGGAAACATCTAGGGACTAATGAAATCTCTGTGTACCCTAGGGGGGCCTATGCTCTGTGACTCTTCTCAGAAAAGTATTTTGGCCACTTGGTAAGGTTAAGGAATCCTTTCAGTAGATGTCTTTGAAGAGAAGAGAAACAGTGGAGCATTCCATGGTTGCAAATCAAAGCCATTTTTTTTAAGCAGAAAAATGATTAATCTTTGTCCTTGGCTTTTTCTCTCTCTGAAACTTTCTGTTTTGTTTAAATGATCTTGCCCCTGCTACCATGAATTTCTACAATGTATTTAATATGACAAAATCTGTGATCTTCTCTTTCCGGGGAGGGATTACCTGAAAAGGAAAAGAACAATGTGCTATTCTTGGCAAGAAAAGAGTTGCTGCTGACTCAGTGGTCATGAAGTCACAACTTTTGGGAATTTTTCCAGATGTTAGGCGGGGGCACTACCCACTTCTCTACTCTGTGGACCTAGCTGATGACTCAGGCAGGCTGGGTGAGCCAACCATGGAAGCCACTGTTGCTTTGGAACTCTGTCCTTGGTGGGAAACCCAATGGTGGTGTCCATAGTCGTCTGTTCCAGTGAATGGAGAGCCAAATGACTCAGCCACGTGATGGGGTACAATAAAAGTGTCCCCTCTCCTCCTCCAAATATGTTGTGTTGGGTCAGGCAACCATGATAATGAAGTCTTCAAAAAGAGAGCAGAGATAAATGCCAGATTATCCTTAAATCATGTATATATCTTTAAATATATGATTTGCCTTGAGCTCAATAGCTACTTCCAGAAACTGAAACCAGAATGAAAGATTCTATCTACAATTCACCTCCTGGCAGCCAAACCCTCAACACACAGGAAATGTAACAGCAATACAGCTAAATTCAGTGCTCGGGCTGTTTGGTCCAGATAACTTCCTACAGGAGCAAACCTCAGCAGAGGCACAGAAGGAGAGCTCTGTTTAGAGGCATTTGAAAATCTTATTTGGGCCACACTGAGGAATAAAGTAGTTCAACTATTCTGAAAGATAAGGAAAAGCAGGCCATGTGTGGTGGCTCATGCCTATAATCCCAGCACTTTGGGAGGCTGAGGCGGGCAGATCACCTGAGGTCAGAAGTTTGAGACAAGCCTGGCCAACATGATGAAACCCCATCTCTACTAAAAATACAAAAATTAGCTGGGTGTGGTGGCAGGCACCTGTAGTCCCAGCTACTCGGGAGGCTGAGGCAGGAGAATCACTTGAACCCAGGAGGCAGAGGTTGCAGTGAGTGGAGATTGTGCCATTGCATTCCAGCCTGGGCGACAGAGCAAGACTTTGTCTCAAAAAAAAAAAAAAAAAAAGCAGTACTGGCCCTCACAATTTTACAAACTATTTTTTTTTAAGTGCTACCAAAGTCATCTTCATCTGCATTCATTTGTTGTGGGTTTGGGAGTGGAAGAACCAGTACAGGAGACAAAAGTTTAACTCTTGATGAGGGAAATATGTTTCCAAGGTTCTTCAGAGAACTCTTCATCACCTCCTGTTCCAATGTTTGTTAGTTAATTAACTAATAAAACACTTTATGTCATACGATCGTAGTCCCTTTCATTAGAGGGTCTGAAAGCAAGCTGTTGCTTAATCAAGGGCCCAGTCACAGTTGAGTTCAGGGATGCTGAACTCAGTGATGCTTCCCAGCCCAAGCAGGAACAAAGCAAATCTGCCCAATAATTTGGAACATACAGGGAAGTTTGTGTATTCCCTTGAAAACAGGATTGCCATCACTGACCTAGACTCCTGCTGACAGGGCAGGAGACGCAACACAGGTGTTGAACACTGGGGTGGAAAGAACTCAGGAAGGGAAGGGAGGTGGCCATCCTGCTTCCCCTCGCTGAGAACCCTCTCTCTCTGCTCCATGGGCTGGACAGGGCTGTCAGGGTGTAATGTTAGATCCACTGAGCAGTCCTGGCCTGGGAGGGAGAGACGGCACCAGTGGATATTTGACTGGGAACAAAGGTGGGGACAGTGCCAACAGTGACTGTGCAGGCCCCTGGCTGAGGCAAATCCCTGGGGAACACATTCCACTCTGTGACCAGCAACCCTGTTTCCCTTCTCCCCTTCCAGCTCACTTCCCCTCCATTATCTCCATCCACATCCATTCCCATACTGAGGCCCTGTTCTGTGCCAGGAACTCATCTAGGAGCTAGGGGCTCGGGGCCAGACGATAAAAACAATCGTTTTCAGAACCCTACAGTCATCCCTGAGGGGCAGAGTCCTAAGGACACAGAACAGGGTCATCCTCAAAAGGCACAGAGCCTGTGTTAAAGAAGATGAGACTGTGGTCCAGAGATGAGCCATGGGAGTGAAACTGCTGCTATAGGGGCTAGATAGGGGAAAACGCTTCCTCTCACCCCCCACAGCAGTGGACAGACATTGCTGGGAGCGAGGTGTCAGCTCAATCTAAGAACTCCCAGAGTCAGAGCTGTCCAAAAACAAAATGAGTTACACGGGGGTGTGGCGGGCTTCTAGCCCCTGGGGTTGTTGGAGAAACAGGCTGAATAGCCACCTTATGGGCCTGCTTGACAAGGTCCCTTCCAGGACCAGTGGTCTGTGAATCCGCAGGGGCTGGTCCACCGGAGGGGCCAGTTCTGGGTGGCTCAGTCTGCTGTGCTCTAACCTGTGGTGAGGACGATAAAAAGGCCTGATCAAGAAAGAGTCATGGAAAAGAGCCTGGTGATGAGCGAGCTGCGGACTGGACTTGGGAGAGGGAGGGAAGGGAGTGTACAGGGACCATAACAAATACCACACACGAGGTGGCTTTAAGCAATGGAAATGGGCTCTCCGTTCTGCAGGCTTGAAGTCCACATCAACCTGCGGCAGAGTTGGTTCCCTCTGTGGGGGGAACCTGTCGCGGCCTCTGCGGGCCCAGGAGGTCCTTGGCTGGGAGATGTGTCCCTGCCGCCCTCCCGTCTCCTGCGCTCTCTGCCTAGACGGGTTGTGCGACGGCGGGGGTCGCTGCCCGTCTGTCCGTCGGCTTCTCCAGCGGTAAAAGGAGGTGAGGCGATTCCAATGCAGACATTCTATGATTTCATAATAGGCCTCTAAGGACCACTCCAATGCTGGCAGTCCATGCTTTTATAATAGGCAGTTCGGCTGTTTACACGGGCGAAATGGAAAGAGGAGATACCCGTTTTCTTCAAGTCAGCTAACCTCTCTGCGGAGTGACGTCACCTCGAGTCTCAGTCTGCTGATCTAAAAAATAAAAATAACACTACGGCCTCACAAGGTGGTGGGACGAGGGTGCTCGAGAGACGCGCGGGTCCGGGAAGCAGCAAGCCCGGGCGCTCTCCCGCAGGTTCTCAGAGACAGCTCCCGCCTCCCAGCGCCGCGCGGGGGCGGGGCGAGCAGCCCGGGCGGGACGGAGGGGGCGGGGCGAGGAGGTCGGCTTTGTTCTCGCCCCGCCCTCTCCCCGCCTCCTCCCTAGATATCGCGAGAGGGCGGGTCCGCTTGGCTTCGGCGTCGCGTCGCTCCTGCGCTGGAGCTCTAGGCCGGCGTCTCTCCGCGAGCCGCGGGTCAAGTGCCAGTGGCTAAGGGTGCGCGAGTAGCCGCCACCCGTTCGGCGTTGGCTCTGGCGTCGGGGTCGTTGTGTCGTGACAACCGCTGCGGTAGCCGTTTCCGAGGCAGCAGTTGCGGCCGCTTTAGCCCTGAGCGGGATCTGCGGCTGCCTGCGAGTCTCTGCTGTGCCGACCCTTCTCTTCGCGGACCCCACGCCAAGCAGCGACCCTGAGCCGACAGCCGGAGCGCCCGGCAATGGCGGCCTCGACGGCCTCGCACCGGCCCATCAAGGGGATCTTGAAGAACAAGACCTCTACGACTTCCTCTATGGTGGCGTCGGCCGAACAGCCCCGCGGGAATGTCGACGAGGAGCTGAGGTGAGCGCTGGGAGGGACGGCCTGGGAGCCCCTCCTTCCCGCCGGGCCCGTTACCTACCCAGACCCCAGGGGCGGGCGGGCGGCGTGGATGCGGCTCGGGTGCCGCTCGAGTCTCTTCTCCTGCCCGGCTAGCCGCGGGTGGGAGCGATCTTTAAGAAGGCTGGGCGATGACGTTTATCATGCTTCCTTTTTTTTTTTTAAGCATTTGGGCATATATAATATTTTTAAACATCATCTTTGAACTTTCTGTAATCGGGAACATCAAAGAATGAAATTGAAGCTTCAGATCTTCGACTGTTAAGCTTTTACTATTTCTTAACCTCATCTCTGAGGTATCTAAAATTCTTCGATAATTACAGTGTATTTTCTTGCTTTGGGAACCCTTTAAGATCTAGTCTCAAGCTAATAGGCGATCCGTCAAAGAAGAGACCATTTCCCCCATTAGCATTGTGCCACACTGTATTTCTGCATCTGCAACCAGAGTTTTGGGTGCTTTCTAGTTTTTGTTCCTGTTCAGAGATAGATCTAAGCTCAAAACAGTTCAAAGAGGAGCAACTTGAAATGACCCAGTGGTAATTTAGTTGCTCTTGCATACGCTAAAGATACACATGTAAAAAGTTGTTGACCTGAGCATTGTATGTAATATTTATAATATAATTGGAAACGACCGGAAGTCCATTAGTAAGAGCTGGTGAAATATTAATTACGGTACGTTTGTATAATGGAACAATATACTAGCCTTTAAAAAAAGAAAGGTAGGCGTTTATGCACGGAGAAAATGTTGCAGTACAGTATCTGTAGTGGGTTAGAAGTGCACGGGGGCTTGGGCGTTGCAAGATACTAAAAATAGAAGGACTCTACTTTCTGAAAATAAGGCTTAAGAAAAGTTACCATTGAAATTGGTAGTCAGAAGCTAAAATGAGGATGTTTGTGAAATCTCAGAATATAGGAACCTAGGGCATTCCTGGATAAAGGATCTTATTTAGGACCATAAAAGGAACTACTGCTTGGTGGTGGTAAATTTTAGGGATTTGTGTTACCTTGAAGGAAATATTGAGTAGGTTCATAGGTTAGAATCGTGGCCTTTTGGGGCTGGAAAGGACCTTAGTTTTTGTCTAGCAACTCCCACGCTCATGGATGCTTGAATCTTACATTCTCTCACACACAATTTTCCAACTTCTTTGGGCTAAGCCACGTTAAATGGAGTGCTGGGGGAGTGTGATGTGTAGGTCATGGAATTAAGAAGACAGAATTTCACCAGAACATAACTGAAGCAGGAGAACCAAGTTAGTTAAAAGATAAATAACATCCAGGCGTGGTGGCTCACGCCTGTAATCTCAGCACTTGGAGAGGCCAAGGTGGGAGGATTGCTTGATCCCAGGAGTTTGAGACCAGCCTGGGCAACATAATGAGACCTCATCTCTTAAAAAAAAAAAAAAAAAAAAAAAGGAAAGAAAAGAAAAGGAATTAAAAGATAAGTAACGTAACTACAGAAGGCTCAAATGTAGCTTCAGGGTTTTCAGCAGCAGGAATGTGGTCCTTACTGGCATTTATGTTATTTAGCTGTTCTCCAGTGTGAGTTTCTTTTGGTCCATTTACCAAGTGAGTTACTCTTTATCTCTGCTTCTTTAGTTTCTGTTTATTCTTAACTTGGATCTGCTGTAATTTCCCGTGGGCCCAATCTATGGATTGGCCTCTTTCTTTCTGTAATTGGTTGGGATTTACATTCAGGTCTTTCTGCCTCAAAAGCCACTATACTAGACTGACTCAACTGCATAGGGCTGCCTCTTCTGTAGTATCTGTGGCAGGGTAGATTCACTTAAAAGGGACTGACCTGTCGAGTTAGAGTTACAGTCCTGTCTTTAAAGAGAACTATCAAACCCTAATTCATTGAAGTTCATGATGTTTGGTTCCAAGTGGTAAAAAGGATGGGTTTTTTAATGATCCTTGTTATGTGACTGTAAAGCAAATAAACTAATTCTACTAGTAATACAATATAGTCTTAGTCTGTTTTCTGTTGGTCATAACAGAATGTCTGAAATGATAATTTATAAGAAACTGAATTTATTTCTTACGGTTCTGGAGGCTTGGAAGTCCAGGGTCTTAAGGGTGCATCTGGTGAGAGCGTTTTTGCTGGTGGGGACTCTGTGGAGTTCCAAGGTGGTGCAGGGCATCACATGGCAAGGAAGCTGAGCGTGCCAGCTCAGGTCTCTCTTCCTCTTCTTATAAAGCCACCAGAACCACTCACTTGATAACCCATTAATCCGTGAATAGATTAATCCATTCATCAGAGCAGAGCCCTCATGACCCAGTCACCTTTTAAAAGCTGTGCCTCTCCACACTGCCACATTGGAGATCAAGTTTCAACGTGAGTTTCAGAGAGGACAAACGTTCAAACCATACCAAATATACATTATTATTTGTCACAAGTCATGCAAACTTTATGAGATCCTCTTTGAACAGAAACAATAAATATACAGTTGGCCCCCTCCACAAATTCAGCCAATACCAAATAGCCCTTTACACTTGGGAGCCATTTTACACACCAGATTCACCAACAAAAATGCAGGAAAGGACCCTAAATAGGCCACGAAAAGGACACTTGTTTACAGTACAAGAGCTGAAACAAGAAAGCAGAGCGTCGCCTTGTTTGACCCCATCTGGGAACATGCTACCTCGGCTGTGAACGGTGCACTGGGCAACTCAGAATCTGCCCTGCTCTGTGGCTGTCTGTGAGCAACTGCTAACGGACCTCAAATGCTAGTTTTGGGATTACACATTTTAGCAAGTAGGTAAACTTGCAAAGAAAGAATCAGAGAATAATGAGAATGAACCCTACCTTTTATAGGTGTCTTCGTTGTGTAAAATGCGATGATAGTTTGACTCCTACCCATCCCCCAGTTGTGAGAGGATGTTATTTTACGTAAATATTACCAAGGAATTTTTAAAAATAGAATTCAAACATACTTCAGATATATGTCTGTAATTCATATATGGATGTACTACTATCATTAGATAATTCTCAAAACTCAATGTCCACTTAAAGTGAGGTTTATATAAAGCCATATTCAGATAGTCTAGCATTTCTATTTTTTTATCCAATTGTCAGGACCGATCAAACCATCATTGAGGGGGGTTTTATTTTTTTAGATGACTCAGTGCTGTTATTTTCTTATTGTTTATACTTTGCATTAGTGCTTACGTCTTTTTTTGTTTATTTTTGAGACAAGATCTCATTCTGCCACCTGGGCTGGAGTACGGTGGCACGATCACAGCGCACTGCAGCCTCCATCTCCTGCTCTCAAATGATTGTCCCACCTCAGGCCACCACACCCAGCTAATTTTTGTATTTTTTGTAGAGATGGGGTTTTAGTATATTGCTCAGGCTGGTCTCAAACTCCTGGGCTCAAGTGATCTGCCTGCCTCCCAGAGTGCTGGGATTACAGGTGAGAGCCACCATGCCCCACCAGTACTTATGTCTTTAATGAGTGGTTTCTACAGGTACCATTTGTCAGATACCAATTTTTGAGGGTTAAATTAAAACTGGATAGAATCCATAAATCCACATAACTAAGTATAGATAAATCTCAGTACATTGCACCACAGCATTCAGCTGTTTTAAACACCACTGTCATCTTCGATCATTGTGGACTTCCCATTCTTTCAGGATACCTTGAATATAGGGCACAACTTATGAAGGTCTAATTTAGCAGGCCTAGTGAGTACATATGTGTATCTTAATGAAAAGAAGACACTGTTGATTCTAAGATGTACTATCCAGGAAGAAAAAATACTGCCAGCTATGATTATAAGATGCCATCCTTTTAAGACATGTTCTTTTTCAGAGATGTGAAAATGTAAAAAATGTGTTTTGGGAATTATTGAAAATATGACAGTAAATATTGCTAAAGCCTATCATTTGAGAAGGATTATAGTTTAGTGGTTAATCTGGTGCCAGATTGCCTGGGTTTGAATCTTGTCTGCTGCTTATTAGCAAACTTTATTAGTTGTGATTTTCAGTGAATTATTCATTATATCTGTGCCTTAGTTTAAATATTAAATGAATTAATAAATGTAAAGTGCTTAACCCAGTGCCTTACCCTCAAATGTTAGTCTTATTGTAATAGAAATAAATATAGAAATTCATTTTTTCCATATCTCAGCGGGGTTTTTACACAGTCTGCTTTGGAGTTCACTATTCTGTTCAATTCAAATTCTATAGTAGTCTTAGATAATGCAGGCAAATTCTGCTTGAAAAAATTATGCCTTAATTTCCTTTGATGTAATTTAAGATATAAACAAGCTTCAACTTTGTCTTTTTCTGCCTATAAAGGGATGTGGAATATTATAGTCAGAGGTTTACTGAGTAAAATAAAAATTTGTTTTCTAAAAGTTACTTTTTGCTTACTTGTAATTGCTTTTATTGTTAAGTCTTACTTTAATTGTTCAGTAACGATATCAGGCTTCGAAGTCTTATATTGTGTCAATCTATATAAGTTGAATCTTCATTTAAAGAAAGAACCATTTCTTGAAATGTGCAATTAAAGTTAAATCACCTTGAAGCAAAATCTTGCTTCCCATTCCAGACACAGTCACAACTTATCAAATGAGCAAGTCACAAGCAACAAGAAGTTCCAGTAGGTCTTCTTAAGGTGGCACCATATGAGCTAACAAAGTAAAAGTGAGAAGCGGTGACGTTTTCAGCACCAGATTTAGGCTGTAGGAAAACCAGTCACCCAAGAGGGTGGGGGAAAACTGAAACCAGCAGGTGCTTTCACCATCATGGCAGATCTGCCATGTAAATGGTGGTGCCCCTATTTTTGTCTGCAGGGATACTGACCTCAAAGGAGGTCATACAGTTCATGATGGTACTGGGATTAAGCTCAGGCTCACTCCTTGGGTTTTGCTATTCCACAACTAATGTTAATTCTGCCATCACTTTAGAGATGCCGACTTTCATATCCAGTGTCCCCTGCTGACAGTTTCTTCTACTTCACTAACTTTCGAAGATTTCCTAGCATTTTTGGAGTCTGTTTTGTAATACCGTTATTTAAATGCTTGTTTTTGCAAGCTATTGTTGTCTTTTTTTGGATCTGAATAATTGTACTAATTTTTTTTTCTGTTAGTGTTCTGTTGAGAAAACAAGTTGAGTGAGACTTTGAATATTTAGAACTTAAAATTTCATTTACAGAAGAAAGTAAACTAAATGGCAAACAAACTGGGAAAAATTGAAGTTATATAAAATGTGGTTTATATAAATCTAAAGAGCTCAAATTTATGGGAAGATTTCTGATAGGCAAAGGATGTAAACATAATTCACATGAGGAAATTAGGCAAAGAAACAACAGTTTTAAAATACTGTTTTATACCTGCTGAAATGGAAACACACACACACACACACACACACACACACACACACACAATAGCTAATCCTAGCAATGGTTTGGTAATTTACTGGGGACGTTACAAACAGTCCTCTTTTTTTAAAAAAAAATCTGTATGGCAACATGGAGTGAACTATAAAGTTCTTAATAAACTTTAATTCAGACTCTTACACTAGCAAATTTTCTTTAAAACAGCATTGAATAGCATATATACAAATATGTTCATGTCTGCCTTATTTTAAATAGGAAAACTTATTTAGGTTATCAATCTAAATGAATCTTATACAGTCATTAAGAAGGTAAAAAAACACAAGCAACTTATACTACATATACTTAAAACTTATATATCAGCATATGTATTGTATATATACTGTATGTACTGTTTTATATGTATAGTTATATATATTTTTATGTTTTGATAGCTTATACATATTTATATGTATTATACAAAGGGAAGAATATGCTGAAATCAAAATTATGAATGGCTTAGGGTGCTGGGATTGTGTTTATTAAATTTTATTTTTAATTTCAAGAAAACTTAATTTCTGCTTGTGTTCTGTAGTTCTTTTTCTTCAATCCTTATCTTGCAAAAAATATTTACAGGATGTGGCGTTCTTTCTTTCCCATTAGAGATACTTTTTAAACTCCAGAGGTCTTTCCTCATTCTTTTTTTTATCCTAAGCAACGATGATCAGTTGTCGTCGTTGTCTTTTTTTTTTTTTTTTTTTTTTGAGACGGAGTTTCGCTCTTGTCGCCCAGGCTGGAGCACAATGGTGCAATCTCAGCTCACGGCAACCTTTGCCTCCTGGGTGCAAGTGATTCTCCAGCCTCAGCCCCCTGAGTAGCTGGGATTACAGGCATGCGCCACCAAGCATGGCTAATTTTTGTATTTTAGTAGAGACAGGGCTTCATCATGTTGGCCGGGCTGGTCTTGAACTCCTGACTTCAGGTGATCTGCCCACCTCCTAAATTGTCATTTTTAATTCAATATTGTTAACATCACTTAGGAAGTAACTTGTTTTACTTTGAGATTAACAGGCACCCCCAAACAACATTATTAATATGTGTTTATTTTTAAAATATTTTATTACAGTGTAATATACATACAGAAAAGCATATTAAGTATAAATTTAAAGTGTCAGAAATTATTGCTAAAGCACACACTGGCTGGGTGCGGTGTCTCACACCTATAATCCCAGCACTTTTTTTTTTTTTTTTTTTTTTTTAAAGACAGGGTCTCGCTATGTTGCCCAGGTTGATCTCAAACTCCTGGGCTCAGGTGATCCTCCCACTTTGGCCTCCCAAAGTGTTGGGATTTATAGGCATGAGCCACTGTGCCCAGCCCCCCAAAACTTAACTACTGGTAGCCTCCTGTTGACTGAAAGCCTTACAGGTAATATAAACAATTGATTAACTACATGTTTTGTATGTTACAAGTATTATGTTACTGCGTTCTTATAATACAGTAAGCTAGAGAAAAGAAAATGTTAAAATCGTAAGGAAGTGGATCATCATAAAGATCTTTATCCTGGTGGTCTTTCACATTGAGCAGGCTGAGGAGGAGGAGGGGTTGGTCTCACTGTCTTGGGTGATAAAGGCGATAGAAGGAGAGGCAGGCTCACTTGGTGTAACTTTACAAAAATACATCATAATTTATGCCTAACTTTTGTGCTTTTTCGTTTCTCTTAAGATGCTTCTATGTGGTACTAATAATCTTCCTTCTACTGTTTAGTTTCAGTGTCCATATCATAAAAGCGTCCATGTTGTAAAATAAGCCAAGCAGTCTCAAATAGAACTCTTGGTCAGATTGTCTAGTGTCAATTTGTTTCCTGGCTTTGCTTCTTCTACATATTCTTCCGTATCCTCTGGCACTGATTCAGAAGCACTCATCTCTATCAAATCATCTTCTGTTAATTCCTCTGGTGTGATGTCTGTTAGCTCTTGAATTTCAGGATCCATATCTTGAAACCCTTCACCCCCACCAAATAATCCACAATCTCATTAGTTCCTTGATTGGCACTGTCGTAAATCCCGTGAAGTCATGCGTAACATCTGGATACAGTTTTCTCGAGCAGGAATTCATTGTTTGAGACTTGACAGCTTTCTTAGCTTTTTCTGTAACAACAATGGCATACACAGTGGTGAAACCCTTCCAGACTTTCATGATGTTCTCCATGAGGGTTGACAGTCTTTTCCATAGAGCAAGGATCCCCACACCCCAGGCCACGTGGCAGGTGCCTGAGCTCCACCTCCTGTCAGATCAATGGTGACATTAGATTCTCATAGGAGTGTGAACCCTATTGTGAACTGTGCATGCGCGGGCTCTAGGTCGCCCACTCCTTATGAGAGTCTAATGCCTGATGATCTGAGGTGGAACAGTTTCATCCTGAAACCTTCCCACCCGACCCCACACCACGCAAAAGTTGTCTTTCCCGAAACCGCTCACTGGTGCTAAAAAGGTTGGGGACCACTGCGTAGAGTGCCATGTGTGCTGAATCTTAAAGGTCCTCTGTGACCCCCGATCTAGAGGTTAAATTGGAGATGTTGTGTTTGAGGACGAGTAAACCACCTTGACACCTTTATAGGGTTGAACTCATAGGGTTCATAGGTGGCCAAAGAGAGACATTGTCCAGAATCAAAACAACTTTAAAAGGTACTTTACTGCCAGGCACGTGGCTTGAGCCTGCAGCCCTAGCTGCTCAGGTGGCTGACACAGTCACATCACTTAAGCCCAGGAGTTCGAGGCTGCAGTGAGCTATGATTGTGCCACTGCACTCCAGCCTGGGCGATGGAGTAATGCCCTATCTCTCTTTTTTTTTTAAAAGCAGTTCTGTATTGGCAAGGTACTTCCTTACCCTGGGGACAGAACATGGACGGAACCAGGAGGGTTCTCGTTGTCCAGACCTTCTACAACCACAAGACTGGCAGCTGGTGTTTATCTTTTCCCTTCAAGGCTCCGGGGTTAGCAGCTTTATAGTTAAGGACAGTTCTGATCATAAACCCTACTGCATTGGCACAAGACAGTAGAGTTAGCCTGTCCCTTCCTGCCTTAAATCCTGATGCTTGCTTCTCTTTTCTTATAAATAAATGTCCTTTGTGGCATTTTTTTCCCCAGAATCAGGCACTTTTATTCTCATTAAAAACCTGTACAGGCAGATCAGATGTCCTTTCTCCTTAATAATTTTTTCTTTTTCTGGACAGTCTCACTTTGCCACCCAGGCTGGATTACAGTGGCTCGATTGCAGATGGCTCACTGCAGCCTTGACCTCCTGGGCTCAGGTGATCCTCCCACTTCAGGCCACCCCCAAGTAGCTGGGACTGCAGGTGTGTGTGTGCCATCATGCCTGGCTAATTTTAAAAATTTTTTGTAGAGATAGTGTCTCACTATGGTTGCCCAAGCTGTTCTCAAACTCCTGGGCTCAAGAGATCCTCCTGCCTCAGCCTCCCAAAGTGTGGGATTACAGGTGTGAGCCATTGCACCTGGCCCTTTCTCATTAGTGATTTTCTTAATGGCCTCTGGGAACTCGTCTGCAGCCTGTTGGTTGGCAGAAGCTGCTTCTCTGTTATCTTGTAATTTTAAAGCCAAACCTCTTTCTAAAATTATCAAACCATTGTTTGCTCGCATTAAATTCTCCAACTTTAGATTCTTCACCTTCTTTTTGCTTTAAGTTATCATATAGTGACATCATTTTTTCTCAAATCATATTAGAGTCTATAGTCTTGTACAATCCTGCACTCACATAAAAGATGCATCGGCAATACAAAAGGCACTTCACAAAATATGCAAGGTTTTCATGCTGGTATCGCTACTGCAGTGACAGCTTTGTGAATTTCCTTTTATTTGATTTTATTTTTACAATGGTCTTTATGGTGGATTCATGTTTAAATGATGGGCAGCCGCAGTTGCAGAGCTCCATCTAAGGTACTCATCAAGCGTTCTACTTTTTCTTGTAATGTCACAACTTTGCTTCTTGGGAATGCTTCCAGCATCTCTAGTGGCATTTTGTATGACTCCCATGGTGTTACTCAAGGTTTACAATATTGCACTAAATAGGATAAAAAATACTCAAAAACCAAGACAGATCACTTTTTATTGCAACAGGCAATTTACTGGAGCAACAAACTACTCACACTGAAACAACTAGCATCATAGAGCTTTTTTTTTTTTTTTTCCTGAGGCAGAGTCTTACTCTGTTGCCCAGGCTGGAGTGCAGTGGCATGATCTCTGCTCACTGCAACCCCTGCCTCCCGGGTTCAAGTGATTCTTCTGCATCAGCCTCCTGAGTAGCTAGGACTACAAGCGCAAGCCACCATGCCTAATTTTTTTGTATTTTTGGTAGAGACGGGGTTTCACCATGTTGGCTAGGCTGGTCTCGAGCGCCTAACCTCAAGTGATCCACCTGCCTCAGCCTCCCAAAGTGCTGGGATTACAGACGTGCCTGGCCGCATCATAGAGCATTTTAAGCAAACTTGCAACACTTGAGGAGACTGCAGTAGCAACAAGAGATAGCTGTGAAACTGTGACATAGAATAGTATGTACTGTAGTTAATTTTATGCAGTTATGATCCAACTGCAGATCCAACACCATGTGTTGTATGTGCATGTTTTGATAAATTTTAACGTTACATTTTAACTAGGCTTGTGAATATTTTATGGTAGTAAATGATAAAGTAGACTATTCTCTATGTATAATGCACTTATGACATAACTAACTTTTAAGGTTTTTTTAAATATTTCTGGGCTATGTGGTTTATCTGAGTTTCTTCAAATTGTCACAAGCCTCCAAAAAAATTTCCAGTAGATTTGTTGAAAAAAAATCCGCATATAAGTGGACCCACACAGTTCAAACTCATAATATTCAAGGGTCAACTATAAATAGAGTCCAAGAGAAGATTTTTTTTTGGCTTCTCTATAGTAAAGGGTAACTGAAACTTGAACCTTCAGTGTCTGTCTCCCGGTTAAATTTGTTTTTTGTTTTCTGCCACAAGCTCAACTATGTGACAGGCAGAAGCCTAGGCATCTGAAGACATCGGTATTGTTAAAGCAAGCTCTGTTTACCCAGTCTAGTTCAGTCCCAGAAGAGTGTGATGAGTTCCCTTAAAAATTACACAGTCCCACTCCTGGCAGGTGACTTTTTTCAAATACTAAGGACATATTAATTTGATTATGGCCAGGTGTGGTGGCTCATACCTGTAATTCCAGTACTTTGGGAGGCTGAGGCAGGGGAATTGCTTGAGGCCAGGAGTTTGATACCAGCCTGACAACATAGCAAGACTCCACCTGTAAAAAAAAAAAAAAAAAAAGAAAAAGAAAAAGAAAAATTAGCTGGGCATGGTGGTGCGTACCTGTGGTCCCACCTAGTCAGGAGGCTGAGGCAGGAGGATCACTTGAGTCCAGGAGTTCGAGACTGCAGTGAACTATGATCATGCCACTTTACTCTAGCCTGGGGTGACAGAGACCCAGTCTCTTAAAAAAAGAGAGACATTCTGACACATGCTACAATATGAATGAACCTTGAAGACATTATGCTTAGTGAGATACGCCAGTCACAAAAGGACAAATACTTCATGATTTCGCTTCTGCGAGGTACCTAGAGTGGTCACATTTCTAGAGATAGAAGTAGAATGGTGGTTGCCAGGTCTAGGGGCTGGGGAGAGTGGGGAGTTAGTACTTAATGAGTACAGTTTCAGTTGGGGAAGATGAAAAAGTTCTGGAGATGAATGGTGGTGATGCTTGCACAATGATGTGATGTTCTTAATGCCATAGAATTGTACACTTCGTAATGGCTAGTGCTTACTTCAGGAGCACGTGCACTAAAATTGGAATGATACAGGGAAGATTAACCAAAAAACAAAAAGGTTAAAATGGTGAATTTTATGTATGTTTTACCACAATTTTAAAAAATGAAGAAAAAAAGTGCTTAGTCCGAAATGGGGACACTGTGGGTATATTAGGGTAGAAAGCAAAAGAATACGAAGTCACCTGCAAGAGTAGGCCTGTATAATTTTTAAGGTAACTCATCAAACCATTTTGAGAGTATGGAAAAGGGAATATGTTATTAAAATGTTGAGTATGTTATTCTTAAAGGGTATTTCAGGATCTGGGAAATTGAAAATACCTGCAGTAAAACCTTAACAATTTAGACCAAATGTGGAAAGCATTATTTAAATCAGTGTAACATTTACATTGATTCTTTTTAAGGCAGGTTTTTCCAAGTACATACTAAGTAACAAACTATATGTAACAAAATAATGTTGGCTTGTAGAAAGGTCTTTGAGGTCTTTTTTAAGGAGTATGTAAGCATTTAAAATGAAAGCATTTAATTATCGAGCACCTTAATAGTTGTGCAAATACTTCATTGCATGAAATTTAACAGATGTTTCTAAAGTACTTATAGGCCAGGCACGGTGGCTCACTCCTGGAATCCCAGCAGTTTGGGAGGCCCAGGCAGGCAGATCACGTAAGGTCAGGAGTTCAAGACCAGCCTGGCCAACATGGTGAAACCCCGTCTCTACCAAAAATACAAAAATTAGCCAGGTGTGGTGGCAGACACCTTTAATCCCAGCTACTCAGGAGGCTGAGGCAGGAGAATCGCTTGAACCCAGGAGGCAGAGGTTGCAGTGAGCCGAGATCGTGCCATTGCACTCCAGCCTGGGCGACAAGAGCAAAACTCTGTCTCAAAAAACAAAAATAATGGCCCGGCCTGGTGGCTCACACCTGTAATCCCAGCACTTTGGGAGGCCAAGGCAGGCAGATCACGAGATCAGGAGTTCAAGACCAGCCTGGCCAACATGGTGAAACCCTGTCTCTCCTAAAAATACAAAAATTAGCTGGGCGTGGTGGTGCGCGCCTGTCATCCCAGCTACTCGGGAGGCTGAGACAGGGGAAGCGCATGAACAGGGAAGGTGGAAGTTGCAGTGAGCCGAGATGGCGCCACTGTACTCCAGCCTGGGCAACAGAGTGAGACTCCGTCTCAAAACAAAACAAAAATAATAAAGTACTTAGAGAGAACGTCTATTGCTCTTCAAGTAGGTTTGAATACACCATTTCTGAGCAAACCTTTATTTTTCTAGATTAGAAATAAACAGAGCTGTAATTTATTTGCAATCTAATGATTTAGTGGTGTCTGAGTTTGATGAGGTTTTCTCTATAGTTTTATTGTTTGAATCTTTATGTTCTGAGTGTTAACAGATATCCCAGAAAGAAATTATGCCAAGGAAGTACTCCTGTTGTGTTTTTTACCGAACAGTTACTGATATATAGATCAAAAATGCCTACTGACTTCAGCGAATGTATAGATTTTGACTTGCATTATTTTATAGGCCAAATGAAGGCTAAGCATGTCATAGTATGGTAATGTTTTGAATGCCTGATATAGATACTAAATATTGTGTTTTTAATATGTGGGCACTAGGTGTTCTATATTTACTGACATTTTATTGTAGTTACTTAATGGTTTTTACCCTGAGTCAGCTTCTATTCCAAGAAAGTATATGTGAAAATAGAGGTTGGCCATCAAATAGAAGTTGAAATGTTAAATTTGGACATTTGTGAATTTTGATATTCAGGTTTATCTTTTTCTGCATTGGGAAAAACGTTTTTTCTTTTTAATTTTAGCAAAAAATCCCAGAAGTGGGATGAAATGAACATCTTGGCGACGTATCATCCAGCAGACAAAGACTATGGTTTAATGAAAATAGATGAACCAAGCACTCCTTACCATAGGTAATGTTACGTAGACGTCATTCCTCTTGTGACTTACTTCCATTTTGCATTTCATATGAACGTCTGGATAACAGCCTATTTGAATTTGTTTTATTGTAGATTTGTTACTGGAGCACTAGTGAAGTCAGTAACCTAACTGCAATTTGTTTAGTAATGGTTTAAGTGATGTGTAAGTTTAAAATTAAGAAAGCCATTTTGTACATTATAATGGTAGTAGTAAATGTTTATTTGTTGCACCTCAGTGGTTGCTAGCTACTAATGGTGCATATATTAGTTTTAACTTCCATGAAAGGAAGATGAGATATGGGCTTGTTTGCTTCCCAAGTAGAAATCTGGGGTTTACTCAGTCTCTTTGCAGAGAAGCATAACTGCATGGATGGTAACCCACTGAAAGATAGGTGTCATTATTACTGTTTATGTCTTCATTTTTTAACTTAATGTAATATTGTTGTTCAGATCATTACATGTAATTTTTGACAATTTCAAGTCTCAGAATTTCCTAAATGAATTGTGAAATTACATTACGCAGCAGTAACCAGTATGAAGACAAAAATAATGCAAGAAGCATTATGAGAAGATGAGGATTCTAAATAGGTATAGATACCTAATTAAGATAATACCTTGGGCCGAGCACTGTGGCTCACGCCTGTAATCCCAGCACCTTGGGAGGCCAAAGTGGGCGGATCACCTGAGGTGAAAGACCAGCCCGGCCAACGTGGTGAAACCCCATCTCTACTAAAAAAAAAAAAAAATACAAAAATTAGCCAGGCATGGTGGCGGGCACCTGTAATCCCAGCTACTCGGGAGGCTGAGGCAGGAGAATTGCTTGAACCCGGGAGACGGAGGTTGCTGTAAGCCAAGATCACACCATTGCACTCCAGCCTGGGCGACAAGAGCAAAACTCTGTCTCAAAAAAAAAAAAAAAAGATAATACCTTGGCTGGGCATGGTGACTCTTGCCTGTACTCCCAGCACTTTGAGATTACAGAGGCAGAGGTGGGAGTATTGCTTCAGGCCAGGAGATCAAAACCAGCCTAAGCAACATAGTAAGACTCTTTCTACAAAAAAAAAAAAAAAAAAAAAAAAAAAAAATAGTTATGCCCTACCTACCTTGTATTGAAAAAAATAAAAGATTTCCAAGATTAAAATATTTTGTCATTGAATTAAGACAGCATAAATCCAAAAGTTACCATTAAAATAGAGGTAACTGCTGTTTCCATTTGTTCTGTAGTGAAAGAAGAGTTAAGAACTACTGTATTTTAAGTCAGTGGGTGAAAACTTTGGAAGATAATTTGAAATAACCTGTTACTAACAAAAACAGTAAAAATAAAAAACTTGAAGATATTAAAGACTGATGAGCATAAAAAGAAATAATGAAATAGGTACAGATGCTGAAACTCAATACTGATGAAATTTGAGTGAAGAAATACACAGTTTTTTGTGGTATATATGTATGTACCATGGAATATATATAAAAAGGAACAAAATAATGGCATTCACAGCAACCTGGATGGAGTTGGAGACCATTACTCTAAGTGAAGTAACCCAGGAATGGAAAACCAGACCTTGTATGTTCTCACTTATAAGCGGGAGCTAAGCAAAGGCATAAGAATGATACAGTGGACTTTGGGGATGGGAGGGGTGAGAGGGGGTTGAGGGATAAAAGACTACACATTGGGTGCCGTGTACACTGCTCGGGTGATGGGTGCACCAAAATCTCAGCAATTACCACTGAAGAACTTACCTGTGTAACCAAACACCACTTGTTTCCCAAAAACCTATTGAAGTAAAAATAAATTGAGGGGAAGAAAAACAATAAAATTACAATTAGTTAAAAAAAAATACGCATGCTAAAAAGAGGTTTATATTCTTATTTTTCTCCTAAATTGCAGGTATATACTTTAAAAATCTTAAAAAAAAAAAAAGATACAAGATCTGGCTATGTTGCCCAGTGCAGTGGCTATTAACAGGCACAGTTATAGCACACTACAGCCTGGAACTCCCGACTCAAGTGATCCTCCCTCCTCCGCCTCCCAGGTAGCTGACTATGGGCACACATCACCGTGCCCAACTTCTAAAATGTATATTAAAACCTTTATTGTACCAGAATCCAAAATCAGAGTGTACTTTCTTTTTACTAAATGTAGTGGCCATCCGTCACTCACTTGTGTTAGTTGGGGATAAGTATCCTAGGAGAATTAAGATCAGACATGATTTAAAAAAATAGTTGAGGCCAGGTGCAGTGGCTCAACGCCTGTAATCTCAGCACTTTGGGAGCCTGAAGCAGGAGGATCGCTTAGCCTCCCAAAGAATGCTGTTTTTTATTTTTTATTTTTTATTTTTTTGAGACAGAGTCTCACTCTGTCACCCGGGCTGGAGAGCAGTGGCACGATCTCAGCTCACTGCAAGCTCCATGTCTCAGGTTCAAGAGATTCTCGTGCCTCAGCCTCCCAAGTAGCTGGGATTACAGGCACCCACTACCACGCCTGGCTAGTTTTTGTATTTTTAGTATTGACAGGGTTTCACCGTGTTGGCCAAGCTGATCTCAAACTCCTGACCTCAAGTGATCCACCCACCTCAGCCTCCCAAAGTGTGGGATTACAGGCATGAGCCACCACGCCCTTCCCCAAAGAACTCTTGCCCAGGAGTTCAAGACCAACCTGGGCAACAGAGTGAGACTCTTATCTCCACAAAAAAAATTAAAACAAATTAGACTAAGCACAGCAGCTCACGCCTGTAATCCCAGCACTTTGGGAGCCTGAGGCGGGTGGATCACCTAAGGTCAGGAGTTCAAGACCAGCCTAGCCAACATGGTGAAACCCCGTCTCTACTGAAAATACATAAAAATTCCCAGATGTGGTGGTGGGCGCCTATAACCCCAGCTACTCGGGAGGCTGAGGCAGGAGAATCACTTGAACCTGGGAGGCAGAGGTTGCAGTGAGCTGAGATCGCGCCATTGCACTCCAGCCTGGGCAACCAGAGCGAAACTCTGTCTCAAATAAAAAAAGTAAAATTATCCAGAGGTGGTGGTGTGTACTTGTAGTCCCAGCTAGCTAGGAGGCTGAGGCAGGAGGACTGTCTGAGCCCTGGAGGTTGTAGCTGCAATTAGCCATGATCACGTCATTGCACTCCAGCCTGGATGACAGAGGGAGACCTTATCTCTAAAGAAAAAGAAAAAAAATTTCAGAATAGCTATGGCCATTATTTTTTGACTGTTTATAAATATAATTTGAATGGTAGATATTTGCCATTCAAATAACCAGAAAAGTTATTTGGTCCCTAAGTAATTGAGGCTATGTGCATGCAGAGATAACCTGTGTCCTGCTTTTATCAGTTCACTGCTCAGTTTTATCATTTCTTTCCATGACTTTCTTTTTTCTTTTTGAGAGTTTCATTTGGCCAGCCATGGTAGCTCATCCTTGTAATCCCAGCACTTTAGGAGGCTGAGGTGGGAGGATTGCTTGAGCTCAGGAATTGGAGATGAGCCTGGGCAACATAGAGAGACCCCGTCTCTACAAAAAATAAAAAGAATTAAGCCAGGAATGGTAGCACATGCCTGTAGTCCCAGCTACACAAGAGGCTTAGGTGGGAGTATCACTTGAGCCCGGGAAATTGAGGCTGTAGTGAGCCGTGATGGTGCCACTGTACTCCTGGGTGACAGAATGAGACCCTGTCTCAAAAAAAAAAAAAATTTTATTTAAGTGAAGATGCTTTTTATAGAAACATCATGTCTTATTATCTAAGAATCTCACAGTTAGTATACAAGAAGTTATTGCTTCTGTATACATGTACATATATAAACATAATTCAGTAAATTTTACAACTAGAATTTTCTATAGAACGATTCTATAAATTAACAAAATGTTTATTTTACCTTACTTTGCTTGATTAAACTCAATAACATAGATCAATTTCAACTTCCCTTAGAAAAAAGAACGTCATCTAAACTATAGACTTACTTGTCACCTTAATTAACCAGGAAATGTATAAACTGGCAGTATTTTATAAATAGCTGAGTTCTGCTTTATATACTTTGCAGTGGCTTAAGAATTAAGGTTGCCCATTTTTGCATTGAAGTGGGGAGCAAATTTTTCATTAGAGGGTAGAGTGAGAAAGCTAAATCACTTGTAAACTTCCGAAATTAGATCTTTGGGATCGAATTTTGTTACTTTACTCAGTCTTGTGTCTGCGTAGATCTTTTGTCTCTATCTTAAGATTGATGTAGAAATACATGTTCTAAAACCAGACAGTGATTTACTTTGCATTACTTGTTCCTTCCCACTGGATGGAATAATTGGAACTTTGTAGTATTTTTTTTTCCAGATCATTTACGTTTTCAGTACAGTTATTCCTCATTATCCATGGAGGTTTCAGGACCTCCCTCAGATACCGAAATCCTCAGACACTCAAGTCTCTGATATAAAATGGCATTGTAGATGTATATAATTATGCACATCCTCCTGTATGTGTTAAATCATCTCTGTGTTAGTTATATTACCTAATAAAATGTAAATACTGTGCAAATAGTTGTTACACACTGTATCATTTAGGGAATAATGATAAGAAAAAAGTCTACATGTTTAGTACAGAGGAAATTTTACTTTTCTCTGGCTATTTTCAATCCACGGTTGAATTCATGGATGTGGATCCTGTGGATATGGCAGGCAGACTGTATTTATGTGTTTTTTTTAATCATTTGGAGTCTTTTCTTGATTGGGTGCTGTACTTTTAAGTATTTGTATTGAATAGGAACTATATAAAGTTAAACCTCAAAGATATCAACAGAGCTATAAATATATTGATATGTTAAGTAGGTTGATGGAATTGTTTTTCTCCCTTGTTTTTGTGGCTGAAAATGTATGTTTCAGGTATTAATTACAATGTGCTTGTCATACTAGTATGATGGGGGATGATGAAGATGCCTGTAGTGACACCGAGGCCACTGAAGCCATGGCGCCAGACATCTTAGCCAGGAAGTAAGTACTAATGACCGGAGCACATTTTCACTTAGGCTGTTTATAATCGTGCAGAGTTGAAAGCAGCCTGCGTGGCTGTCCCTGTATGAGCGGGAAGAAAAGGCTGTTGATCAACATGTTTTATGCCGACTTTTTTTTCCTTTTTTCCCCCTTTTTTCACCTTCTGAGTCACCAACTTTTATAGTCTTGTCTCTTGATTAAAATCAAGGTATGTAGGTGGCAGGAAGACCAGCGTACCTGCACTTGGGATACTGAAATGTGTCACTTCCCTGTGGGGGGTTTTATTTGTTTTCTGAGACAGAGTCTCGCTCTGTCATTCAGGGTGGAGTGCAGTGGTGTGATCTCAACTCACTGCAACCTCCACCTCCCAAGTTCAAGCAATTCTCGTGCCTCAGCCTCCCCAGTAGTAGCTGGGATTACAGGCCCATGCCACCAAGCCTGGCTAATTTTTGTATTTTTAGTAGAGACAGTGTTTTGCCATATTGGCCAGGCTGGTCTCGAACTCTTGACCTCAAGAGATCCGCTGGTTTCAGCCTCCTAAAGTTCTGGGATTACAGGGGTGAACCACCGCGCCTGGCCCCTGCTTCCTGTTTTTAAAGGTAGCAGTGAGAAAGGCAAAAATAAGTTAATTCATAAAAGCACTCTTCCTTTGCTACTTACTGATTTCTAGCACCCATTCCACTGTTCTTGTCTATGCCCATTTCTACTCTTTTTATTCTTTTTTTTTTTTTGAGACAGGGCCTTGTTCTATCACTCAGGCTGGAGTGCAGAGGCGCAATCAAAGCTCATTGCAACCTCAAACTCCTGGGTTTAACTAGTGCTCCCACCTCGGCCTTCCAAATAGCTAGGACCACAGGCGTGTACCACCATGCCCGGCACGTTTCTGCTCTCTTGCCTTTTATTTTCCTCATCAGGTTATAGCTAGCACATTAATGATCTTCAGATGTTTTTGTAAGAATCAACAGTTGAATAAGGCGCTTAAATAATATCAAAACATCACTGTTAATTTCTTTGTACATGATTGTTGCATAGATTAGCTGCAGCTGAAGGCTTGGAGCCAAAGTATCGGATTCAGGAACAAGAAAGCAGTGGAGAGGAGGATAGTGACCTCTCACCTGAAGAACGAGGTAGTTTATTTCCTTTACTGCTTTCATCATGGTGCTAGTAATTTTTGCTAAGATAAATCCATTATTTGGAAGATGAGCAAATGGTTTTCATTTTGGGGACACACAGGGGAGGAGAATGAAAGCAACATCTTTATAATTCAGATACTACTTGTGTGTTTTGTTGTGTAATAGTTTTTTACCCCTGATTTCAAGAATATGGGGAAGTATTACCATCTTTAAAGTAATTATAAGTATTATTTTCTTTGTACTTTTTAGTGCAGAGTAGATACTCAGTAAATACTTTTTAAATTAATGCATTTCAAGTCATTGAGCGTTTGGACGGTCTTAAAGTGGGTAGCTGAAAGAGCTAATTTCCCAGTTGCTTATGCTTTTTGTGTTGTTGGACAGTGATGCAACTTAACAAATGAACCAAGATGATCAGATGCAGAGTGAAGGTCTTTATTAGGTCCCATCAATCAAAAGGAGCAGTAGTGTCACAGGAAGGGAGATGGAGACAGCCCTCCCCTTCACAGGGATGGAAGAGGGTCTCGTAGGCCATTCAGCACATACACATTTAAGGCATTGCTGCCTGCTCGTGCTTTCTGTTTCCACAAGTAAAAGTGGTTACCCGTGGAGGCTGGGAGAAAAGGAGTATGTCTTATCTTGTTGCATTTTATACTTTTTGATTCATGTGAATATATAATCTTCTCAGGAGTTAAAAAATTGTGTATAGTTTATTTGCAACTATTTTTAAAGGAAAATCCAAGCTTGTGGGTAGAGGGGAAAGATATAAGAAAAGCACATACTCACAAAAAAGAGGAAGAAGGAAAATATGGTAGAAACCTACTTGAAGTGTTGTGGCGTAGGGACTACCTCCTGTACCGTGAAGAAGCTGAGAAACTTTAGAACGAAGGATCTTTGTCGTGTAGCTGCTAAGATATCATTTACTAGTCTTTCCTATCATCTTCAGAATATAGCCTGTTCAACAGAGCTATGATGGGCTGAGCCTAATATTTGTACGAGAGAAATTTTACATGTAGCATATTCTCAAGTTGTATTGTATCTCAACTTTCAGTGACTTTCCATTTATTTTCCCAAAATATACCCCAAAAGATCCTTGAAAAGTATTTCAAATAGAAATAGTTTCTGGAGTTTGTTTCCTCATTACTCTCTAAAAACATGATCTGTTGAGAATAAGGAATTTTTTGTTAATGTCAGTTTTAATTGAGGGATGTTTTTCTCAAGTTGTGATTTCATGAGTCAACCAGCAGGGGGAGCCATTTGACTAATTATAATTTCATTAATTCATTTTCCACTGGTGGGGTTATTACTGAATTATATAGATGTTACGTGGCTGAAAAATTGTTGTCTATTGACAGTAGATAGCTTAGGGAGAAAAACTGTAACTCACAGCATAACAATTAAGATTATTGTCTAAGAAGACAGACAAACCTAAGTTTGTGCTCCAGGTATGCCACTTGGCTAATTTGCATAATTTCTCCGAGCCTCCGTTTTCTCATTTCTAAATTGGCAGCTGTAAAAATATTTTGGTGACTACTAAATGAGTTAAAGCATTTAAAGCACTTATCACTGATCTTGGCATATTGTGAGCACTCACTAAATACTAACTTTTAACAACTTAAGATATTCCCCCATAAAAAGTAAAAGTAGGTATAAAAAGAATAATTCACTTGTTGTATTCATATAAATAGTCTGCCTTAACCTTTTTAAATGTTAGTTATGACTTATTAAGAATCATGATGGCCGGGTTTGGTGGCTTATGCCTGTAATCCCAGCACTTTGGGAGGCTGAGACAGGAGGATCTCTTGAGGCCAGGAGTTTGAGACCAGCCTGGCCAACATGGCGAAACCCCATCTCTACTAAAAATACAAAAATTAGCCAGGCATGGTGGTGGGCGCCTCTAATCCCAGCTACTCGGGAGGCTGGGGCACAAGAATTGCTTGAACCTGGGAGGTGGAGGTTGCAGTGAGCCGGTATCATGCCACTGCACTCCAGGCTGGGTGACAGAGTGAGACTTTGTCTTTAAAAAAATAAATAAGTACATAAATAATCATGATGCACAGTTTCAAAAACACTGGCTCATACTGAGAAAATAATAGAACAAATGCACAATATATTTTATATATATAGTCTTAAAAACATTGAAAATTGCTGATATACCTTCACAAAATAAAAACAAACCAAAAGAAACATTGAAAACATGAAGGAAATCAGAAATCTTTAACCAAAAATAGGGAATTAAATTATGACTCAACAACTTGTAACGATTTTAAAATTACATAAATCATTATGGCAGAATGTTTACTGTATGTTCATATACTTTATTGTCTAAACTGGGTAATTATTGCAGTTCTTTTTTTTTTTTTTTTTTTTTTTTGAGACAGAGTCCTGCTCTGTCGCCCAGGCTGGAGTGCAGTGGCGCGATCTTCGCTCACTGCAACCTCCACCTCCCAGGTTCAAGTGATTCTCCTGCCTCAGCCTCCTGAGTAGCTGGGATTACAGACGTGTGCCACCACGCCCAGCAAATTTTTTGTATTTTCAGTAGAGACGGGGTTTCACCATGTTAGCCAGGATGTTCTCAAACTCCTGACCTCATGATCCGCCCTCCTCGGCCTCCCAAAGTGCTGGGATTACAGGCGTGAGCACTGCGCCCGGACTTCAGTATAAGTTTTAAAAATATAAGTATAGATGTTGATAAAAGCTTAGGGAATTAAGAAAGTACTGGCCAGGTGCGGTGTCTTACACCTGTAATCCCAGTGCTTTGGGAGGCTGAGGCAGGTGGATCACTTGAGGTCAGGAGTTCAAGACCAGCCTGACCTACATGGTGAAACCCCGTCTCTAGTAAAAATCAAACAAAGAGAAAGTACTTTGGAGGCCAGGTGTGGTGGCACGCATCTGTAGTTCCAGTTACTTGGGAGGCTGAGGTAGGAGGACTGCTTGAGCCCAGAAGTTGGAAGCCAGCCTGGGCAACAGTGAGATCTCATCTCTAAAAATTAAAATTTAAAAAAAAGAAGAAAGTACTGTAAATACCCTTATTGAGAGATGTCTCTGCTTTTTAAAAAGTAAATAAATAAATTTTTGAGCTACGGTCTCACTTGTCAACCCAGGCTGGAGTGCAGTGGCATAGTCGCGGCTCACTGCAGTTTCAGCCTTCTAAGCTTAGCCAGTCCTCCCATCTCAGCCTTCCCAGTAGCTGGGACCACAGTCGTGTACTACCACACCCAGCTAATTTTTTGTAATTTTTTTGTAGAGATAGGTTCTTGCCATGTTGCCCAGGCTGGTCTTGAACTCCTGGGATTACAGGCATGAGCCCCAGCATCTGGCCTCTGTGCATTTTTGACATTGAAATATTTTGATGAAATTTTTAATAAAACAATGGTGAAGCCAGGCGCAGTGGCTCATGCCTGTAATCCCAGCACTTTTGGAGGCCAAGGCAGGCGGATCACCTGAGGTCAGGAGTTGGAGACCAACCTGGCCAACATGATGAAACCCCGTCTCTACTAAAACTACCAAAATTAGCCAGGAGTGGTAGCACATGCCTGTGATCCCAACTACTCGGGAGACTGAGGCAGGAGAATCGCTTAAACCTAGGAGGCTAAGGTTGCCGTGAGCCAAGATTGCACATTGCACTCCAGCCTGGGCAATTAGAGTGAAACTCCATCTTGAAAAAAAGAAAAAATAAAACAACGGTGAATAATTTTAATGCTGTTCATTGGTAAAATAGCTGGCAATTTTATATTGGCCCCCCCTTTTCTGTTGTTTTTTTTTTTTTTTAATTTTCTGATCTAAGGAAGTTAAAAACCTTAAAATTATGTATTCATAAATAGTTGCTCTAGTGTGATCAGTTGTGTTGCTGCCAGCTTTATGTTTCTATGGTGAAGACTAAAATGAAATATTTTGGAGTCACTTCACCATTACTTTATAATACGTTTTTCTTAAAATTACTCTGAAAATGAGGTTACGTTTTTAGCCAACAATGTCTTAAATCATGGCAGTTTCTTAACAGGTAAGAATTGTTTTAAAGGATTTTTTCTTAATTATAAAAATAGAAAATAATAAAATATTAAAACTACTTCATTGTTCCTTGACTCAGAATTAAACACTGTTAATTGCTGAGTCTTATTTTTCTCTCTGTGTGTGTATGTGACAGGCATTGTACATAGTAAATATAGTATATGGTGTTGTAACTCGCTCTTTTGTCACCATTTAACTCTTTCTGGATAATTTTCCCATAGCTTTAATCTTTCTTCACAAATATAATTTCTAATGGCTGGATATATTCTTGTTCTTCCATTGAGATGAATGCCAGATAGTAAATATTTTAAATTTTGCAGGGCCCAGTGGTCTCTATTACGAACTACTCAACTCTGCCATTGAACACAAAAGCAGCCTTAAGCATGACAAAAACAAATGAGCATCACTGTTTCAATAAAATTTTATTTATAAAACAGGCATGGGCCAATCCTTGAGCTCAAACTTCCTAAGTTTACATTTTGCATCTTATAGAAAAAAAGCGACAATTTGAAATGAAAAGGAAGCTTCACTACAATGAAGGACTCAATATCAAACTAGCCAGACAATTAATTTCAAAAGACCTACATGATGATGATGAAGATGAAGAAATGTTAGAGACTGCAGATGGAGAAAGCATGAATACGGAAGAATCAAATCAAGGTTAGATGTTTGGAAAATGTCACTGAGACTTTTGTAATGGTCTATGCCTAAGATAATGTACTTTATTTTGCTTTAAACTTGTGAAAAAACAGAAAATTTTGCTGAGATTCGCTTTATTATACCAAATGTTTCTAAAGTTTTAACCCGCATGGCCAATTTCAGAATAATAAAGTTTTTATACCTAGAGTTGATTTGATTTTAGACCATATGTTTTATTATATGGCTTTCTTATGGTTTACTTGCCTTTAGGCAAGGATGTTTGTCTTCATATTAAGCTATATTTTGTTTTGAATATTTTAGGTCATGTTGTATTTGTCATAACGATCTAAAATTTAAAATTTTTAAATGAAACTTTTTTTTTTTTTTTGAGACAGAGTCTCGCTCTGTCACCCAGGCTGGAGTGCAGTGGCGTGATCTCGGCTCACTGCAAGCTCCGCCTCCTGGGTTCCCGCCATTCTCCTGCCTCAGCCTCCCGAGTAGCTGGGATTACAGGCGCCTGCCACCACGCCTGGCTGATTTTTTGTATTTTTAGTAGAGATGGGGTTTCACCATGTTAGCCAGGATGGTCCCAATCTCCTGACCTTGTGATCCGCCCGCCTCGGCCTCCCAAAGTGCTGGGATTACAGGCATGAGCCACCGCGCCCAGCCTGAAACATGTTTTTAGTATGGAAGATTTGGTTTTACATCCCGTTAGATACAAAGTATGTCATATCTTTCCAATACGGATTCTTTTGACTGTTGGATTGACAAGTTATTTAACTGTTTTTGTTTTTATTTTTTTTTTAAGTCTTAGACACCCAGCCCCTGCAGCCTAGCAACTCCTGATCTGTCATAGGAAATAGGTTTTATTTATTTTTTATGAACTGTTACTCTGGTATTTAATGAAGTGAATCTTCTGCATCACTAATGGAGATTTTTTGTGCCCACCACCTACTCCTTGTACTTACAAACTTCATACTTTTCAGTGGAGGCGTAACTGATGTTATTTGTGGTGCCCAGAATGGTTAAGTCTTAGGAAATTAAATAATTATTGTATTACCATTTTGGTAAGCATAGTATTAAATATGAATAATTCTATGATACAGCCTGATGAGTTGCTGTCTCATAGTGTCAGGATTACAGTACTTTTTGTTATTCCGTAATATGCTTCAACCTTTTAGTCTATTTCATATAGCCTTTCATTTCCATTATATATCCCATAGTCTGTTTAACTTATATTTAACTTGAGCAAACTTCATCTTACATAGTAGCTGTGGCATGTTTTTATTATCCATTTTTATTTTTATTTTATTTTTTGTTATAGAGGCAGCGTTTTTTGTTTGTTTGTTTTAACGCCATTTCTTTTGAAAAATAACTATGGCATTTTGTCCGTCTCTGCTTATAAGATATTACATTTCACATATTTAGTACATAAATATATTTTTTGTTTAAGTTTAATGGAGGATTAAA